>NC_000006.12:155222305-155373820 GCF_000001405.40 Homo sapiens | reverse complement strand
TATAAATGAAATAAAGGATATAAAACAGTGATATTTCTAGAGTAGGTGATGCCCCTTAACCCAGGGCCCATGGACTTTAGGTTTACAAACTTATTTAAAGGGCATGCACATTTTTTTCATATTTATATGTGAGTGTGTATACATAAATATATACTTATATTACCTATAGATATTTCTCCTGTTCAGTGGATGTATAGTGATCATCAGATTCTTAATGCGGTTCATAAAAAATCTCAGGAACTAGTGGTCTAGATGGTAGAGGTGTGGCTTCGGTGAATAATTCCTGGCAGCACATCTTGAGGCTTGAATGAGAAAGCTTTAGTACCAATTTACCCCATGAAAAATAAACATATGGAACTCATTTCCCTGATGACTGCTGTAGACTAAGAAGGCAAGAGTGTCTTGTAATGTTTGAGGGAGGTGTTTGAGGTGGATCTCTAAGCTTCTGATGTTGGGGCTCCATGACGACAGAGACTGAGGTCTGCTTTGTTCACCACTCTATCCCTAGTGCTTAGAACAGGGCCTGGCACATAATAGATACTCAGTAAATACTTGTTGAATGGATTAATTTATGTGCTGAAGGATAGCCATACCCCCATTTCCAAAAGAGAGAGAGAAAGAGAGAGAAGAAAGACAGAGAGAGGGAGGGAGAAAAGGAGGAAGGATGGATACACTGGAGTGGAAGGGGAAGCATGGCTGTTCTTCAGCACATTCATTTATCAATTTAACAAGTATTTACTGAGTGCCTGATATGCAACAGGCACTGTGTTCTAAGGTTCTGTTTTTAAACACTCAATCTTGGTGGCGTGTCAGAGGCAGTTCCTGCATGAGCTCCAGGTCTGCCTCTGTGTGGCATTTCTGATATATACAAGGATGAGGCTGTTTCCTTCCTGCCCTCATTCCCATGTCCTCATCTCATTTTTTTGTTTGAGCATCTACCACAGTGAAGACACCTAGATTGCGGAGGCAGGAGTGGCATCATGTCAGCAAAGAATTATGTGAATTTGGCCTACAGGGAATAAATCAGAAATGAAATATCAAAGCAATAAAGAGTTTATAAGAATTTATGAACATAAAACGTGCACAACTGTTAAATGGAACACAGTCAAGCAGATTAATTAGTTAACATTTGGAAAGTGCATTAAAGATGAAAATTGCCAAATAAGGGCTTCATCTTGACCTAATTTCTCATCCATTATAACTTGGTGGCATAAGAAAAAAACCCACTAACAGGTGAGACAATTATTGTGCCCAAAATGGGATATAGAGGGTCTGCTGTCCTCGGGAGGCTGAGCCCAGCATAGTCCTCCTCTAGGATTTGGGGTGAAGCCTGTTTCCCCAGGCATCTGTATTTACAGTGGTGGAGTTCCACTTCCTCAAAGTTCTCCGCTTTTGTCGGCCAATTCCCCCACCCTCTAGGTCCTGAAGACGGCTAGAGAGCCCTTGTGGGATACCTCTTAGTTCCAAGTGAAGACATTATAAACAAGCCTTGTTAGAATCTTCCACCCTAATTTAGACTTTGTTAAAATGGGTATTTTAGCTAACATTCCCTAGATAGAATGGTATTCCATTCCTTAACAGCATTGAAATATTGAACTATCCAGACATTCTTGAAATACAGCATGACAAGACCCACAGCTACCTCCAGCCCAGCCAGAACAGAGATGCTCTCCCTGGAAGCAGCAGTCAATGCTGAGAGAATTCTGAATCAGAAACCATCCAAACACCCAAAATGTAAAGCCAGCATTTTTATTTTAACCAACATTTGTTTTGATTTCCAAGTTTTATGATCTCTTCCCTACCTCCAAAAGAAACTGAAGCAACTTATAGATTAAAACAAAGTATAAAGAACTAAAGCATTTAGAGATAAAATAGGACAAATAATGTATCCCTGCGCTGGAATTTATAAGACACAGTATGCTTTAGTAGAAAAAGTGTTAGAATTGAAGCACAAAAAATCCCGGGTTCTAACCTTAAGTCTCTCTAACCGTGTGGTCTTGTGTAATCTTTATTTCATTGGCAAAACGAAGTCTCTAAAACTTTTTCAATGTGATTTTTTAATATATTTAAAAATAATATGCTAGCATTAGTATGTCAGGCAAAATGCGGTGGTTGAGGTTGTAGAGGAACCAGTTAAGAGGTTAAAGAGCGATTAGGTACGGAGGATTAACAGTAGGAATAGAAAGAAAAGGAGGGGGAAAACCTTTTAAGGAAATGTTTGACAGAACTTGGAAGTTGATTGGAAATGAGAATGAGCAAGATGAGTCCGAGATGACTTTGAGTCTGTGTAGTGGGGAGCATGTTATCACTGCAAACAGAAACAGGGAAATGTTTCTAGGAGAAGAAGCTAAGCTAGGACGGAGCAGAGTGAGCTCAGCCTTGCCAGGTGGAGTTTGTCCTGATGGGAAAACATCCAAGTGAAAATACGGCATGGGCTTGTCTGGTATGAGCTGAACCTGAGGCAAGAAAATAAAGCGGGAGATAAAAGCACAGAAGTCATTGGTATTTCAGTAAATGAGCAGAGGTGGACACATAGAAACACAGGAAGGGTAAGGAGGAAGGGAACTGAGGGCTCGGTCTTGAGTTAACCAGGACCAGGCAGCCAAAAATAGCCCCCGAGACCAGGTTGTTCAGTACCAAGCATTTGTTTCTGTAATTACATGGTCTTCACTTCTGCTCTTCTCGGTTGTCTCTAATCCCATTCAAGCATTCTCAAAGAGAATGCCTGCTGGAGAGGACCAGCACACAGGTGAGAGGCAGAGTTTTTGATGGGGGTACAGCTGAGCCTGTGGACTCCATTGCTTCTTTCTACTATTCATTCGCTTCATTGGATGGACCCATTTAGTTGCATATCCTCTGCTGAATGTATGTTGATCACAGAGAACCTGGGATTTCCAGAACAAATTCGTTTGACTCAGTGTGTCTCATCCAGCTGAGTTTTATTTACATTTCCCCAAACCTGTCCCTGTTCCTTCTAAGTTTCCCACTTCTAAAGGTCATCTTCCTTGCCATGCTCACTGCCAACCTTCTCCAGAAACCTTGAACAAGTTAGTCATGAGTTTGCTAAGGTCTCTTTCCTACCCTTCACCAAGAACAGTGGCACAGATCCTGTGTTCAACTCCATGAATCCTCCTGATCCCTTTCCCTAGAATTGAACCCAACTTTGTTAACCCTCAGATGCAGGTAAATAGACCTAGGGTTTCCCACTGTATCATAATTGCTACTTGCCACATAATTAATTATGGACTGATGTACTAAACTACCAAAATACTTATTTAGAAAGAAAATCATTTTTCTTCTTGTTTTTGTCTTTACCCTTCTAATCTCAGAAACAAAGATTCATTAGTTGGTAAAATAGAGGTTAATGTGACTTAAGGAGAGAATTAGCTTCTATGAAATATGAATTTGGATATCTTTTAGTATAACACATACATATATATTACATTACGCAGCATAATATATTATAAATAAGAACATCCTATGATTGAGTACTTTCTAGTGGGGTGTGTTGCAACACATAAGTCTTAGCAATTTTAAGACTGGATGTCACTCAAACCTAAAACATCTTTTCCATAACAGAGTTATAAATGATATTAGCAATGTAGTTTATGGCAAATCAGCTTTTCTAATGATATTCATTTATGGCACAAATACAGCAATAATAAGACCAGGTGCAGGAAGAAATGAGATATGAAAGATAACGGAAAGGGGAAACAAAAGCTGTAAATTTTGATTCTGGCTTCCTTGGAGAACTATTGATGGAGAATGTTACTCCCTGGTAGCCCTGGTGCTCTGTGAGAAGAAGATTTTCTCTTCCCTTCCCCTCCATGGCTCCTGGCTACACTGAACTTAAGTCAGTCTCAGATTGAACCAAGGAAGCCCTCAGGCACAAATGAAGTACAGAACAGCCACAGCAAAATAGTTCTTCCCTCCGCACACAAGGAGGCCAAAATCAGATGTATGAGTCTAGGGACAGAAGGGGATGGTTGGAATGCCACTGGCAAGGTAAAAGTAAAAGATAGAAAGTATGTGTTTGAGAGGAGAAAAGAACAGTTGTAGAGGTGTCCCACAGGGGAAACACTAATCTGAGGAAGAATGAGATGCCTGTATTCCGCACTGCTAGAAATTATTTACACCACCTCTTCCCTGAGCTATCACTAAATATGTATTTGCAAGGTTAGTGGAGAGGTCTGAAGGCATAATAGGAAAACTGCCAGAATTAGAACCAAAGGGTTGGATTATCACTATGCCACTTCCTAGCTATGTGGCATTAAACAAGTAATTTGACCTCTCTGAGCTTTTTTTTAATCATTAAAATGGGAATGGTAATAATAATGTATTCCTCACAAAGCTGTTGTAGGGATTAATAAGAAAATGTAGCTAAAAGGAGTTTTGTGAAATTTTAGTGCTGTTCAAATGCCAGTTATTAGCAATTCTCTGAGACCAATGCCATATATTTAACTATCTATTTTTTATGATCGAAATTGAGTTCAGTTCACTTGGAGGTGAGCAAGCTCAGAGGGCACTCTGGCAGATGTGGAGGTGATTTAAGAAGAGCTGTCCCAGGGTTTAGAAAGACAGAGTGTATGGGAAGTAGCAACGTGCTTGCAGGGGCCACCATGAGGGGGTCTCCTCCACAGAGACCAGCAGACCCTGGGGGCCACTGGCCTTCTTTCTCAGGGTCTTTTTGCCCTTCCGTGTTTCTACTTATTACAAGCTCTCTTCTTGCCTTTCTACTTCCCTCCTTCTTTCACCCTTTTATATCATCCTTTTCATTTTCCCTTTAAAAGGTCATAATATCACTTAAGTGAAAAAAATAACATTTTGGATTTTCTACTCCTAAAAACACATATACTAAAATAATTTACAAGTCTATCTTAGAAGAATAACAATGAAAATAAAATTAGGTTAATTTATTTAATGTAATGGTAAATTTTATGCTTTTCTTTCTCAGAGACCTTTGATAGAAATTTGAATTTGAAGTAGTCTTAAGTGTAGGTAGTCCACAATTGTTGCAACAATGAGTTCTTGAGAAACTCCATCATAAAATATATCATTGTAAAGCAGATTGTATTTTCCCATAAGAACCAGTTCATAGTTAGGGGTTGTGTTCTTGATCAAGGACTCAGAATCCAATAAATCATATGTATCACCAACAATATGTCACAAAGGAAAAGAAACAACTATAAAATTTTATAGTAATTCAAAACGGTAAAATTAGGCCCCAGGTCTTAAAAAATGAGCAAAAACAACATGCACAGTAATTATGTAAGGGTGCTAACCTACTGTTAAATACATTGATCATATAAAAATACAACTCTACCTTATCGTAAGTTTGACTAAAAATTAATATATTAACTATAATGAATATTAAACATTTAATTAACAATAACTTTACTTGCTGTCCTTGACTTTAGAAAAACTTTCTAGGGAGGCTTTGGGTGAGTTTAGCCTCCTTACAAATTCATCTGCTGAGCAGGGACCATAGCAGAGAGCCATTGTTAGCCCTAGACTGAGTTCTATTCAACATTTTTTATTAGCTACTTAGATACATGAACTGGAAACATGGTAAATAAATAGTGGTCCACAACTTTAAGTTCTTGGTTAAAATCAATAAGAATCACAAGTTGGAGAAGTGGGCAGACCTAAAACACAATAAAACTCGATAGGGATTTATAATAAGAACACACGGCACCCGGATGGAAAAACTGTATGTCATTCTCATCAAAGCACACTCACACACACACACACACACACACACTCACACACACATTTACTGAGTACCTGCCAAGCTAGGGGAGGTGTAACTGTGGTTTAAGAGGTCTAAAAGTGGAAGAAGGGCTGATCATCATAGAGAAATACAAGCTAAATTTAATACCTTAGGTTAAAAGCAAGCAAGATACCCATAAATAGAAATAAAATAGGCACATTTTGTAAGTATAGCAGATAGACGTAAAACAAGGAGTCAATAAAAGCAGAAACTGTAAAGTTTATGGGTTCCCATAACCCCTCTGCCCACTCTAGCAGGATGCGTGGCACCCGTGATGGCACTCTCTGTCAAGTGATTTTGCCATCTTCCTACTTGGCTGTGCGTTTCTTGTATCGTCATCCTGTTTTCCATCTATCTGACCCATAATAGGCAACCAATAAATATTCGCTGAATGAAAGAATGAATTAATATTCTGTTTTCTAATGGGAAGCACTCAAGTAGGAGTCAAAAGTCCTGAGTTCTGGTCCCACATCAACCACTCCCTGCATTTGGATCTGAAGTGTGTTCTGATGAGGAGTTCCTTAAGTTTTGAACAAAAAGGACCACATTTATTACTTCTCCCCCATGTTGAGCCCATCTCATCTTGGGAAAATTTTGGACTGCCAAATCACCTTCATTAGGCAATAATTTTTTTTAACTTTTCCCTTAAGACAACACCACTGCTAACATACTACATTGATATAATTATTGCTAGGAGCTGGAAAGTTACATTTTTATAATCTGTCACTTATAAGCATTCTCCTTTTTAAAAATGAAAATAGACCATTGCTACCCTTATATTACTACTTTCAGAGTCTGGCCTCCAATTTGAAAGCAAGTCTTGATAGCATCCATGAGGGCTTTTTGTTCTAACACCCTTGAAATCTACATTATTTCAGGTTAAGACCTAGCAAAGAAAAGGCTGGCACTTCATAACAGCCTATATTCAAATATGTGACTATGGATAGTTATTTGTGAAGTACAGGAAAAGTAAAAACAGGGCCAGAAAATATGAAATGAATTACCTATTTTAAAAAAATTTTTTTAGAGATAGTGTGTTGTTCTGTCGCTCAGGCTGGAGTGCAGCAGCTTGATCCTAGCTCACTGCAGCCTCCAACTCTTGGCCTCAAATGATCCTCCTGCCTCAGTCTCCCAAAGCACCAGAATTACAGGCATGAGTCACCACCCCCAACCTGGAATTATCTATTTAAATAGAAGCAAGAGGAATGGAAGTTTTTCTTTTTGAAAACAACAAGCATTTCCGTGTGTACCACAGATTTACCAAAGAGATATTGGTAATTCACATGGTGCTCTAGAAAGGGCTTCAAAAAGGAATGGTCCTTCCTCACTAGCCTGAGCTAGGAATCCATTTCTCAGCATTCCTAACCGGGGAGTTAAGCAGGTGAGTGAGAAAAACCTAGTACAATGCCTCCCAAACCAAACGCTGTACAGATGGGAAAGCTAGAGGACTTGTTAACCATGTTCCCAGAGAATGAAGGGCAAAGGGGACGAGGAGGGGAAGAGGAGGGGTGAAGAGCTGAGAGGAGCAGGGCGCGAACACTGCCTCCCTGGGAGAGAGACAAGAGCCATCCTGAGAATGCCCCTCTGACTCTGGAGGGAAAGGCCCAGGACAATGGTTTAAAAAAGAAAAAAAAAAAAGAGTTTCCAAATCCTTCTTCCACGTAAAGAGAGTAAGAAGAGAATAAGAAGGTGAAAAAGGAAAAGATTAAGAGAAAGAAAAGATTTATTGAGAAGAAGAAAAAAGAGAGAAACTAAGTGCTGATACAGGCCAACTTGAAAAGAAATGGTGGAATGTGTAAAAAAAGAAAAACTGACTTCAATGAGCATAAGAATAAAAAAGAATGCCAAATAAAAGGCAAAAGAAAAAAGCACTAAAGTGAAAGCACTTCCAGAAAAGAGAGAATGTCATGTAGAGATAAACAAGATTTTTTTTAAATGGGGGAAAAACATCCTCCAAGCATTTTTATTTAGTTAGCCAAGGAAGAATATGAATTCAAGAGGAAAGAGGTGATTAAAAAATGAAAGACACTCTATTTTTTATTTATTTATAAAAATTAAATGTTAAGAAAATAACAAGGAACAAAGGACAAAAATGATTTTGGAAAAGGAAAAATACTCTTATATAGGAAATTTTCAGCAGCTAAATTAGGTTAAAAGTCTTGTTATAAACATCATTCTCAATAAAAAGCACGCATTGAACTTACCCTGAGCCTGGAAAAACACAGGTAAGGGAGAACACAGAGCCGCTACAAAGAGGAACCAAGACACACCAGAAAGCAGAGCTAGTTAACCTGGAATAAAAGCTCCAGGGCACACGAATGTCTTTCATCCTGCCACCCTACACAGAGGAGGCATTCTGAAAATACAAACATTCTGAAAAATATTTGTGGAATGAATGAATGAATGAATGAACAATTAAGTCCATGGAGTTTCAGCGGCCTCCAGTATACTTTCAGCTCCTAATGACACAGAAATTTCCTCTATTCCCCAACACCTGCTCCTATCCCATTGTGGAGCCACCTCTTCCTTCTCCTGTTCTGCCAACAGAAATGACAAAATCCCTGCGGTCCTTGGTCTACTCACTAGAGAGTCATCCCAGCCCCATTTCTCATTAGCAAGAAAGAAGGGGAATGGTGAAAATTTTCAATTTTTCCAAGCATTTATTAAAAAAAACACACACACACTTGTTTTACCCCTGGCAAGTTAAATAAGGCAGCATAATTATCTTCAAGTAAAGCCAACATTGAGAAGTTCAGTGGTCATCTGAAGGACCCCAAAAAAGGTGAACAATACAGGTCATGAGGAAGGATGATGCAATACTAAGATCCCTGACAACTGATTAACAGAGATTATGGAACTACTGTGGATGGAGACAATTTAGCTTCCTTCATCCAGGATTTCTTTGAAGAAGTGAGACATTAGCTAGGTTTTAAAATTTGAAAATGTAAGACTTGAAATTAAACTAGGAAATGGGACACACACACGCACGCACGCACACACTACACTTAAAGCAGTCAAAATCAACATTGAGAATTCTAAGGGTCACTTAAGTGGCCCTGAAGGAGGAAACAAAAACTCTTATTTCTTTCAATTATTTTTATAATAAAACCTACTTCTTATCTACCAAAGCCTATTGCTAAATTTAAGACATTTTTCCTTTAAGGGATACCCCTTTTTAAGGTAAATATTGTGACAAACCTAAGGAGACACTGGGCAATAATTTTAAAAGATTAAATGTGTATTAATCTCAGGCTTGAAACTATACAACTACAAAGGATGGCCTCAGAATAGAGTTCAAATTACAGAAAGTGATCTTAAGACCTCAGAAATTTTTCAGCAGTTCCCTGAGAGCCAGAGAATCAAGACTAAGAAGTATGGCCAGGCTTCAGAAGAGCAAATCAGAGATAGACAAATATGTTTTCATGTCAGTCCCAAAATTTCAAGTTGCTTATTAATTATGGCACATTTAAATAAATACATTTTAAATCTGGCATAGTAAGCCATTGTTTAATATCAAGTTGTCAAGAAACCCAGTATATAAATAACATACATTTGTTCTTTAAAAATATATAGTTAGCTGGAAAACATATTTGAGATAGGATTTTGAAGAGTCACTCAAATTAATGGAATTCTTGAAAGTCGCCATGTGTCTTAAGGTGGCGTGTCTGGAGTTTGTTCCTTCTGATGTTCAGATGTGTTCTGAGTTTCTTCCTTCTGGTGGGTTCGTGGTCTTGCTGGCTCAGGAGTGAAGCTGCAGACCTTCGCGGTGACTGTTACAGCTCTTAAGGCACCGCGTCTGGAGTTGTTCCTTCCTCCTGCTGTGCTCGTGGTCTCCCTGGCTTCAGGAGTGAAGCTGCAGACCTTCGTGGTGAGTGTTACAGCTCATAAAAGCAGTGTGGACCCAAAGAGTGAGCAATAGCAAGATTTACTGCAAAGAACAAAAGAACAAAGCTTCCACAGCACGGAAGGAGACCCGAGCGGGTTGCCACTGCTGGCTGGGGTAGCCTGCTTTTATTCTCTTATCTGGCCCCACCCACGTCCTGCTGATTGGTAGAGCCTAGTGGTCTGTTTTGACAGGGCACTGATTGGTGCATTTACAATCCCTGAGCTAGACACAAAGGTTCTGCACGTCCCCATCAGATTAGTTAGATACAGAATATCCACACAAAGGTTCTCCAAGGCCCCACCAGAGTAGCTAGATACAGAGTGTCAATTGGTGCATTCACAAACCCGGAGCTAGACACAGGGTGCTGATTGGTGTGTTTACAAACCTTGAGCTAGATACAGAGTGCCGATTGGTGTATTTACAATCCTTGAGCTAGAGATAAAGTTTCTCCAAGGCCCCACCAGAGTAGCTAGATACAGAGTGTCCATTGGTGCACTCACGAACCCTGAGCGAAACACAGGGTGCTGATTGGTGTGTTTACAAACCTTGAGCTAGGTACAGAGTTCCGATTGGTGTATTTACAATCCCTGAGCTAAACATAAAGGTTCTCCAAGTCCCCACCAGACTCAGGAGCCCAGCTGGCTTCACCCAGTCGATCCCGCACCAGGGCTGCAAGTGGAGCTGCCTGCCAGTCCCGCGCCCTACGCTCGCACTCCTCAGCCCTTGGGTGGTCGATGGGACTGGGTGCCGTGGAGCAGGGGGTGGCACTCGTCGGGGAGGCTCGGGCCGCACAGGAGCCCGTGGAGCTCCTGGGGGAGGCTCAGGCATGTCGGGCTGCAGGTCCCGAGCCCTGCCCCGCGGGAAGGCAGCTAAGGCCCGGTGAGAAATCGAGCACAGCGCCGGTGGGCTGGCACTGCTGGGGGACCCAGTACACCCTCCACAGCCGCTGGCCCGGGTGCTAAGTCCCTCATTGCCCGGGGCCGGCAGGGCTGGCCGGCTGCTCCGAGTGCGGGGCCTGCCAAGCCCACGCCTGCCCAGAACTCCAGCTGACCCTGAACTCCAGCTGGCTCGCAAGCGCCTCACGCAGCCCCGGTTCCCGCTCGCGCCTCTCCCTCCACACCTCCCTGCAAGCTGAGGGAGTGGGCTCCGGCCTTGGCCAGCCCAGAATGGGGCTCCCACAGTGCAGCGGTGGGCTGAAGGGCTCCTCAAGTGCCACCAAAGTGGGAGTCCAGGCAGAGGAGGCGCCGAGAGCAAGGGCTGTGAGGACTGCCAGCACGCTGTCACCTCTCAACCATGTGTAGTATCAAGTTTCATCTCTATTTGGGAATAACCAGATTTTCTTTCATGTCTTCTGTCTTTAGCTCTGAGGTAAGTAATTCAAGTGTTAAAAGAGCTAGTGAGATATTATTACTACCTTTAACTTTAAAAAATCAAAATATTAATCTGTTTCTAAAGTGAATACAATTATTTAATTTACTTAATATGATTCATTGTTTTCTTAGCTTGTGCTACCCGAAATGGATATTACTATTCTCTTCAATTGAGCAGAGTTTAAACTCAGACTCAAATACAAATCGGGGTCACAGAATCAGAAATTAAGATGGTTTATATATGAAGAGAATAATGAAATTTTCTCAAAATTAGAGGGAACCTTGGCAATCATTATAGGCATTTAATAAATACGTGTCAATTTGAAAATCTTACCAATAATGAAATAACTGGATCTCGAAAAGCAGTGTCAGTTATATATGAATCCTAATAACTGACTATTTTCAGCAATTTCTATTTAAATAGGAACATCTTTGTTTGCAGTAGAAGATAAAAAGGAATTGAATGATAACAATCATGAGCCAGAATTAATTTTTGCTGTTGAATTCATTGCCAGAAATCACTCCTTTGTTATTATATATTGACAAATTATAGTTGTATATATTTGTGGGATACAGAGTGGATTGTGGTTTTTTAATACAATGTGGAATGATTAAATTAAGCTAATTAACATATATATCACCTAAAATATTTAACATTTTTGTGATAAGAACATTAGAAATTTACTCTGTGATACTGAAATGTACAGTCCTCAATTATTATCTATATTCAGCATGTTGTGCTATTGATCTCAAGAAAAAAAGCAATCAAACTTATTTCTCCTATGTGAGGCTTTTTACCCACCATCTCCCCATGCCCTTAACCCTCCAGTCTCTGGTAACCACCAGTCAGTCTACTTTGCTTCTGAGTTCAATTGCTTTAGATTCCACATAAAAGTGAGAACATGTAGTATTTGCCTTTCAGTATTTGGCTTATTTCACTTAGCATAAGTTTGTCCAATTTTATCCATGTTGTCACAAACATGTCATCCATGCTGTCACAAATGAAAAAATTTCATCTCTTTAAGGCTGAACAGTATTCTATCATATACACATATCACATTTTCTTTATCCATTTATCCCTTGATAGAGATTTAGGTTGATTCCACAACTTGGATATTGTGAATAGTACTTCATTGAACAAGGGAGTACAGATATCTCTTTCATATACTGATTTCATATCATTCAGGTACTATCCAGAAGTGGAATTGCTAGATCTTATGTTAATTCTACTTTTAATTTTTCGAGGAACTTCCATACTTTTTTCCGTAATGGTTGTACTAATTTACATTCCCACCAACAGCATAAAGAGTTCTCTTTTCTCTATATCCTTGCCAACACTTCTCTTTTGTCTTTTTTATAATAGCCGTTCTAACAGGTGTGCAGTGATATTGCATAGTAGTTTTAATTTATATCACTTGAATGTTTACCAATGTTGGACATTGTTTTCATTTATCTGTTAGCCATTTGTATGTCTTCAGTTGAGAAATATCTATTCAGGTCCCTTTCCCATTTCTTAACCAGGTAATTTGTTTTGTTTCTATAGAGAGGAGTTCCTTATGTATTTTGCATATTAATCCCTGATCAGATATATGGCTTGCAAATATTTTCTTCTAATCCATAGGTTGTCTCTTCACCCTATTGTTTCCTTTGATATGCAGAAGATTTTTATTTTGAGGTAATCCCACTTGCCTGTCTTTGCTTTTGTTGACTGCACTTTTGAGGTCAAATCTAAAAAATTATTGCCCAGAACAATGTTGTGTAGTTTTTCCTCTGTTTTTTTCTAGTAGTTTTAAAGTTTTAAGTCTTATGTTTAAGTCTTTAACCCATTTTGAGTTGATTTTTTGTATATCGTGTGAGATAAGGGTCCAATTTCAGTCTTTTGCATATAGATATCCAATTTTCCCAACACCATTTATTGAAAAGACTGTCCTTTTCACATTGTACATTGTGAATTGGAAGATCAATGAACAAGAGATGTATGGGTTCTTTTCTGAGTTCTGTATTCTATTCTATTGGTTGTTGTGTCTATTTTTATGCCAGTGACATGCTGTTTTCATTACTATCACTTCATAGTATAGTTTGAAATCTGGTGGTGTGCTGCCTCTTGCTTTGTTCTTTTTGCTCATGATTGCCTTGGCTATTCAGAGATTTTTGTGGTTCCATATGAATGTTAGGATTTTCTTATATCTATAAGAAATGACATTGGAATTTTTATAGGTATTGTATTGAATCTTGAGATACCTTTGGATAGTACAGAATTTTTAATAATATTAATTTTTCCAATCCATGAGCATGAAATACCTTTCCATTTATTTGTGTCTTCTTCAATTTATTACTGTTCTATAGCTTGTAGTGTATAGATCTTTTATTAGTGTTCTATAGCTTTTAGTGTATAGATCTTTTGCCTTCTTGGTTAAATGTAGCCCTAAGAGGTTTTTTTTATTTGTTTGTTTGTTTTTTGTTTTTTGTTTTTTTTTAGCTATTGTAAATGGGATGGTACTCAATTTCTTTTTTGGAAAGCTTATTGTTAGCATACAGAAACAATACTAATTTTTGCATGTTGATTTTGTACGCTGCAAATTTACCAAGTTTATCAATTCTAACAGGTTTTTGGTGGAAATTTTAGGGTTATCTATATATAAGATCATGTTGTCTGCATACAGAGACAATTTAAATTCTTCCTTTCCAATTTGGATTCCCTATATTTATTTTTCCTGCCTAATTTCTCTGGCTAAGATCTCCAGTACTATATTGAACAGAAGTGGCAAGAGTAAACATCTTTGTCTTGTCCCAGATCTTGGAGAAAAAGCTTTCGACTTTTCCCCATTCAGTATGATATTAGCTGTGGGTTTGTCATATATAGCCTTTATTGTGTTGAGGTACATTCCTTCTACATGTAATTTATTTAGAGTTTTTATCACAAGGGGATATTGGATTTTGTCAAGTGTATTTTCTGCATCTATCAAGATGATCATATGAACCTTATTCTTCATTCTGTTAATGTGGTGTATTACATTTATTGATTTCCTTGTGTTAAACTATCTTTGGATCCCAGGTATAAATCCCATTTGATTGTGGTAAATGATAATTTTAACATGTTGTTGAATTCAGTTTGTTAGTATTTTGTTGAGGATTTTTACATCTATGTTCATCAAGGATATTGGTCTGTAGTTTGTTTTTTTCTTGTGATGTTCTTGTCTGGCTTTGGTATTAGGGTAATGCTAGCTTTGTAAAAAGAGGTTGGAAATATTCCTTCCTCTTTGATTTTTTGGAATAGTTTGTAAAGAATTGGTATTCGTGTTTCTTTAAATGTTTGGAAGAATTCAGCAGTGAATTCATCAGGTCCTGGGATTTTCTTTGATGGTAGATGTTTTATTACTCTTTTGATCTCCTCTCCTCTTATTGGTCTGTTCAGATTTTCTATTTCTTCCAAGTTTAGTCTTGGTAGGTTGTATATGTCTAGGATTTTGTTCATTTCTTCTAGAGTATCCAATTTGTTGATATATAATTATTTGTAATGTTCTCTTATGATCCTTTGTATTTCTCTGATGTCATTGTGATGTCTTCTCTTTCATTTCTGATTTTATTTATTGGAATATTTTCTCTTTTTTTCTTAGTCTAGCTAAAGGTCTATCAATGTTGTTTATCACTTTAAAAAACCAACTTTTAGTTTTCTTGATCTTTTATATTTCATTTATTTCTACTCTGATCTTTGTTATTTCTTTCCATTTGCTAACATTGGGCTTAGTTTCTTCTTTTTCTATTTTCCTAAGGTGCAACATTAAGTTATTTATTTGTGACTTTTCTTCTTTTTTGATTTGGCATTTATTGCTATAAACTTTCCTCTTAGAACTGTTTTTTCAGTATCCTATACATTTTGATTTATGTTTCCAAATTGCATTTGTCTCAAGATATTTTTAAATTTCCTTCTTTATTGATGCATAATAGATGTACATATTTGTAGGGTCTCTGTGCCCATGTAATACATTCATATAACTTGTAAAGATCAAATCAGTGTACTTGGGATATACATCACCTTAAATGTTTGTCCTTCCTTTATGCTAGGAACATTGAATTATCCTCTTGGTACTATTTTGAAATATATAATAAATTACTGTAAACTATAGTCACCTTGTTGATCTATCTAACACTAAGTCTTATTTCCTCTCTCAAACTCTCACTACATAGATGTATGAGACAGGGTATCACTCTGTTGCATAGGCTGGAGAGCAGTAGCATAATCATAGCTCACTGCATCCTCAATCTCCCAGGCTCAAGCAATTCTCCTACCTCAGCCTCCCGATTAGCTAGGACTATAGGCACCTCCCACCATGCCTGGCTAATTTTTTTTCAGAGACAAAGTCTCAATGTATTGCCCAGGCTTGTCGTGAACTCCAGAGCTCAAGGAATCTTCCTGCCTTGGCCTTTCAAAGTGTTAGGATTACAGGTTGCCCACACCTGGCCCAAGCCACATATTTGTATCCAATAATGGACTTCTCTTCATGCCTCTTCCTCACTTACCTTCCTGGCCTCTGGTAACCAGCAATCTACTCTATCTTCATGACATCCACAATTCTCCTTTTTAGCTCTCACATGAATGAGAACATGCAATATTTGTCTTTCTGTGCTTGAATTCTTTTACTTAACCTCCAGTTCCGTTTGTGTTGCTGCAAATGATATAATTTCATTCTTTTTTATAGCTGAATAATATTCCATTGTGTGTATTTGCCACATTTTCTTTATACATTTATCTGTTGATGAGAAATTAGGTTGATTCCATATTTCGACTATTGTGAATGGTGCCGCAGTAAACATGATGTACACATGTCTTTTCAATATATTGATATCCTTTCTTGTAGATATATATACAAGAGTGGAATTGTTGGATCATATGGTGGTTCTATTCTTAGTTTTGTGAGGAGCCTCTATACTACTTTTCATAGTAGCTGTACTTACAGTCTCACCAATGGTATACAAGGCTTTCCCTTTTTCCACATCCTTACCAGCATCCATTATTGCCTATCTTTTAGATGAAAGCCATTTTAACTGGGGTGAGATTATATTTCATTGTAGTTTTGGCTTGCATTTCTCTAATGATTAGTGACGTTGGTCATTTTTTCATATACCTGCTTGCCCTTTGTTTATCTTCTTTTGAGAAATGTCTATTCAGGTCTTTTGCCCATTATTAATCATATTATTTAGTGTTTTGCTATTGAGTTGAGCATTATATATAGACTAGTTATTAATCCCTTGTCACATGAGTAGTTTTCAAATACTTTCTCCCATTCTGTGGGTTGTCTTTTCACTTTGTTGATTGTTTCCTTTGCTGTGCAGAAGCTTTTTAACTTGATGTAATCCCATTTGCCTATTTTTGCTTTGATTACCTGTGCTTTTGAGGTCTTATACAAAATATATTTGCCATACCAGTGTACTGGAGAATTTCCCCCAGGTTTTCTTTCTGTAGTTTCAAGTCTTAAAGTCTTTAATCCATTTTTATTTGATTTTTGTATATTGTGAGAGATAGAGTTCTAGTTTCACTCTTTATGTAGTTATCAAGTTTCCCAGCACCATTTATTGAAGAGACTGTTCTTTCCCCTATTGTATGTTCTTGGCACCTTTGTCCAAGATGAGTTGGCTGTAAATGTGTGAATTTATGTTTGGGTTCTCTGTTCTGTTTTCATTGGTCTATGTGCCTGTTTTTCTGCCAGTACAATGCTGATTTGGTTACTCTAGCTTTGTAGTAAACTTTGAAGTCAGGTAGTATGATGTCTTCAGCTTTGTTCTTTATCCTTGGCATTGCTTTGGCTCTTTGGGGTCTTTTGTGGTTCCATATAAATTTTAGGATTGTTTTTCCTCTTTCCATGAAGAGCATCATTTGTATTTTGATAGGGATTGCAGTGAACCTCTAAATAACAGGTTTGGGTAGTATTGTCATTTTAACAATATTAATTCTTCTAATCCATGAACATAAAATATCCATCTTTGTTTCCTATTCAATTTCTTTCATAAGTCTTTTACCATTTTCCTTACATAAATCTTCCATTTCTTTGGTTAAATTGATTCCTAGGTATTTTATATATTTTTTTAATTATACTTTAAGTTTTAGGGTATTATACTTTAAGTTTTTTTTATTATTATACTTTAAGTTTTAGGGTACATGTGCACAACGTGCAGGTTTGCTACATATGTATACATGTGCCATGCTGGTGTGCTGCACCCATTAACTCGTCATTTAGCATTAGGTATATCTCCTAATGCTATCCCTCCCCCCTCTCCCCACCCCACAACAGGCCCCGGTGTGTGATGTTCCCCTTCCTGTGTCCAAGTGTTCTCATTGTTCAATTCCCACCTATGAGTGAAACATGCGGTGTTTGGTTTTTTGTACTTGAGATAGTTTGCTAAGAATGATGGTTTCCAGCTTCATCCATGTCCCTACAAAGTACATGAACTCATCATTTTTTATGGCTGCATAGTATTCCATGGTGTATATGTGCCACATTTTCTTAATCCAGTCTATCGTTGTTGGACATTTGGGTTGCTTCCAAGTCTTTGCTATTGTGAATAGTGCCACACTAAACATACGTGTGCATGTGTCTTTATAGCAGCATGATTTATAATCCTTTGGATATATACCCAGTAATGGGATGGCTGGGTTAAATGGTATTTCTAGTTCTAGATCCCTGAGGAATCGCCACACTGTCTTCCACAACGGTTGAACTAGTTTATAGTCCTACCAGCAGTGTAAAAGTGTTCCTGTTTCTCCACATCCTCTCCATCACCTGTTGTTTCCTGACTTTTTAATGATCGCCATTCTAACTGGTGTGAGATGGTATCTCATTGTGGTTTTGATTTGTATTTCTCTGATGGCCAGTGATGATGAGCATTTTTTCCTGTTTCTTTTGGCTGCATAAATGTCTTCTTTTGAGAAGTGTCTGTTCATATCCTTTGCCCACTTTTTGATGGGGTTGTTTGTTTTTTTCTTGTAAATTTGTTTGAGTTCCTTGTAGATTCTGGATATTAGCCCTTTGTCAGATGAGTAGATTGCAAAAATTTTCTCCCATTCTGTAGGTTGCCTGTT
This sequence comes from Homo sapiens, assembly GCF_000001405.40. Taxonomy (NCBI): domain Eukaryota; kingdom Metazoa; phylum Chordata; class Mammalia; order Primates; family Hominidae; genus Homo; species Homo sapiens. Next base: position 155,355,716 of record NC_000006.12, on the reverse strand, counting down.
CACTCTGATGGTAGTTCCTTTTGCTGTGCAGAAGCTCTTTAGTTTAGGATTGACTTGGCAATGCGGGCTTTTTTTTTGGTTCATATGAACTTTAGTTTTTCCAATTCTGTGAAGAAAGTCATTGGTAGCTTGATGGGGGTGGCATTGAATCTATAAATTACCTTGGGCAGTATGGCCATTTTCACGATATTGATTCTTCCTATCCATGAGCATGGAATGTTCTTCCATTTGTTTGTGTCCTCTTTTATTTCATTGAACAGTGGTTTTCTAACTATTGAGGGACTTATCTCTGGTTATATGATTAGTGTTTGTACCAATCATATAACCATCATTTCCTCAATCAAAGAAAGCTTTTGAATGAAAGGAAATGAAATTTCTAACATGCATTGGTCAACTTTTGTTCATTGTTATGCAAGACTTCCAATGATAGAATGATTCCAAATTAATATCTGATAACAACTTAACTTTAATTGCATATAACTGTATACTTTTACTGCCCCTACCCCCACACATTTTATATTTTTGATGTCTGAATCTATATCATTTTGTAATATGTATCCCTTGACAGTTTACTTTAGCTATGGTTGTTGTTAATAATTTTGTCCTTTAACCCTACTACTAGGAATAAAATTACTTTACACATTACCATTACAGTCCTAGAGTATTTTAAATATAACTCAATATTCGTTATACTACTGGGTTTTGTGCTTTTATAAGTTTTATTTTATTAACAGCCTTTTGTTTCAATTTAAAGAAATCCCTTTAGCAATTCCTGTAAGGCCAGCCTAATGGTGAGGAAATCCCTCAGCTTTTGTTCATCTGGGAAAGTTTTTATTTATTCCTCATTTCTGAAAGACAGCTTTGCTAGGTAAAGTGTTCTTGGTTGCAATTTTTTTCTTTAGCACTTTGAATATATTATCCCACTTCCTCCTGGCCTACAAGATTTAATCTGAGAAGTATGCTGATTGTTGCATTTGGACTCTTTTGTATGTCATGTATTTCTTATCTCATGCTGCTCTCAGAATTTTTCTTTGTCTTTGATTTTTGATAGTTTAATTGCTATGTGTCATAGTGACCTCTTCTTTGGGTTGAATATGTTTCAAGATCTCTTTTTTCCTGTACCAGGATGTTGGCTTCTTTCTTCAAATAAGGGGGGTTTTCATCAATTATTTCTTTAAATACATTTTCTGGCCCTTTTTTTCCTTCTTTTGCTTTAATTCCTATATGCATAGCTTAGGTCTCTCAATGGCATCACATAATCCCCATAGGCTTTCTTAGTTCTTTTTTTTCTTTTTGCTCCTCTGATTCAATAATTTCAAATATTCTGCCTTGAGTTCACTAATTCTTTTTTTCAGCTTGATCCAGCAGGCTGCTGAAGCTTTCTATTACATTTTTCAGTTCAGTCATTGTGTTGTTCATTTCTAGGATTTCTATTTGGGATTTAAAAAACTATTTGTATTTCTTTGTCAAACTTCTTAATTTGTTCATGTATTATTTTTCAAATTTTTAAAATTTTTATCCATATATGCTTAGAATTTATGAACTTTTTAACATAATTATTCTGAATTCTTTTTCTGTCATTTCATGGATCTCCCTTTCTTTAGGGTCCATTGTTGGAGCTCTGTTTCTTTTGAAGATGTCATGATTTTCTGAGTCTTTGTAATATTTGTATCCTTGCATTGGTATTTACACATTTGTGGAGACTGCCACCTTTTCCAGCCTTCACAAGTGTTCTTTGGCAGGAATAGACCTTCACTGTTTATTCTAGCCTATGTTTCTAGATTGGTCAGCTAGTAATGACTCTGGGCAGGCAGAGCTTGCTCTCAGGTTCTCTAGATGACTGGGCTGCTACCTTTGCTCTGAATTTGTGTGGGGCAACTGGCTTGGTTCTGCTATCCAAAAAGACCACTGGCTTAATTCTGAAGTCAGACTGAGCTATGGAATCAGAATTGCAATTGCCTGTGATCTGGCTGAAATAGGAGTATTCTCTGATCAGGTGGTATCACTCTTTGAATCCAGCAGTTGAACAGGGCTGTAGGAGGAGTCTTGAGGTAATGTGGATTGGGACAGATGAACCAACTGCTATACTCAGTACAAATGTACAGTTGAGATTTGCCTCTCTCTCTGAGAAGGGTCTGAGGTGGGCTTTAAACTCCCTGATGTAGCAGAACTAGTGACTGCTTGTTGTCAAAATTCACTCAGGATCTGCTGTGGAACAGAGGCTGGCAAGACTGTCCTGGTGGTTCAGACTGGCTAGTAGTTCTGTGTAGACAGAATTACTCCCAGGCCATGGCAGAGAGGGGCTGGAGCCAAGACAGGGTCCCTTCAGGATGTGTTGTGCAACAGAGGCTGGCAAGCCTGTCCAAGTGGCTCAGATAGGTGTGTCTCCCAGCAGTTCCATGCAAAGGCAGGATCGTTTCCTGACTGCAGTGTGAAGAACTGGAACTGAGACTGAGCCCCTTCATGATTTTCGGTGGGACAGAGACTTAAAAACCTGTCACAAAGGCTTGGACAGGTAAATATCCCAACAGTTCCCTGTGTGGAAAGAATATCTCCCAGGCTGGGGCAGAGAAGTACTAGCACCAAGACTGGGCCCCTTCAAAATCTGTGAAGACAGAGGCCAGTAAGTCTGTCTCAGTAACTCAAATGGGTGAGTCTCCCTCTGCATCCTGTGTGAGCAATACTAAGCTGGGAACACAGCTGAAAGGGACTAGAGCCAAGTTGCAGGATAACTTTCAAGTCTACTACTGAAACTGATGTCAGCAAGCAGATGAGCCTTTCTGCTGAGGCAATAGTGTGCATGATTCCTCCTGGACCCTTTGGAAAATTGTTTTGTTTGTAGGTTCAAGGCAAGCCTTTAGGGAATGGGGCTGGTTTGAGGTTTGAACTCAGAAGCACAGTCAGCCAGTCTGACACCTAGGTGCAGGTCTGCACTCTCAAAACCACTATCCTAGGTCTTGGGCTCCACCAGGTTTCACAGCCTTCTACCTGAATCTCAGAGACCCAGAAGGAGACTTTTTTCTGTGGATGGGATTCTTACTGAGGGAAGATAAGAGCAAGTGACCCCCAATCCTCTAACTGGCTAACATCACTCCATCCAGAAATAACTTTTTAGTGATCAGGGTCCCTTTGAGGTGAAGCCCTTTAAGCTTAATGAGACCTAAAAGAAAAAGTGATCAGGAGATGACCATTTAAAAAACTACTTCAAATAGAATGCAGTTAGGCTGAAATGAACCAGAAACACTGATTCACTGACCTTCCTGAAATGTAAAACACTTTCTGGAACCAAGTGGATCTTTCTCATTGATTTTTCTAAAGCTCCTTAGGGCATCTTTAGTGCCACATAAAAAGTACTTGCCAAAGGAACCATGTAGTTTGTACTAGAAGCTCTTAAGTGAAGAGTTAATTCTCAAAATAGATTTTGGTTATCTCAGATCGCCACAAGATCAAGTGAAGAATCCCACAGATCTGGCTGGGTGCGGTGTCTCATGCCTATAATACCAGCACTCTGAGAGGCCGAGGCAGGCAGATAACCTGAGGTCGGGAGTTCAAGACCAGCCTGACCAACATGGAGAAACCCCATCTCTATTAAAAATACAAAATTAGCTGGGCGTGGTGGTGCATGACTATAATCTCAGCTACTTAGGAGGCTGAGGCAGGAGAATGACTTGAGCCCAGGAGGCGGAGGTTGTGGTGAGCCGAGATCACGCCATTGCACTCCAACCTGGGCAACAAGAGTGAAACTCCATCTCAAAAAAAAAAAGAAAAAGAAAAAGAAAGAAAGAAAGAAAAAGAAAAGGAAAGGAAAGAATCCCACAGATCTCACAATCTTTTTTCTGTCAAATTTTAGTCATTCACTCATTCATTCAGCTAATGTAGCACATATTAACTGAGGCTCCAGTTAACTTGTTAGGCAATACTTATGCCTTCATGAGTGCTCTATCACTTTTTAAAATTGAAACAGAAATAAGTAGATATAAGTAGATTAGAACATGTATCCATTCATCCACATTATCCATGCTGAGACACTTTAAAGCCAAAATTGGGTTTTTTAAATTTTATTATTTATTTATTTATTTTGCCTACGTGGTCATGTCTGATACCTGTTTGGGTAATGATTAGAACATAGTGACAGATGTAGAAATATGACTCAAAACTAAACTGGGGCAGCTTTCCCAAAAAAGTAACTGAAGACTGTGTTCAAGCCTTGCATATACATAGACACCTGCTATATTTGCATAGCCCAGGCTTGCAGGAAACTCTAATCAATCATTTTCTGTGTGTAGAATTATTCAACCAGAAAACCATTACTTATTTCACCAGAAAAATTTTGTTTTTTCATTGCTGCTAGATTAGTTACATCCCATCTCCCCACTTCCCTCTCTTCATCAGCAAACAAAGTTTATACCAAATTATATGGATCAATGTCTCAGCCTATAAGAAATTTTGGTTTATTTTTAAATTTTCAAAAAGGTGGATTCTTTCATTTCTTTTGTTAATGTGCAATAAAAATTCTATCTTCTCTTACATATTTCTTTAATTATATTTATTGAGTGTTCTTCACTGGGCCAGGTGCTAGAAAATTTGTAAACAAAAGGAGAGAAATATTGATTAAATAATCATTAAAAAGTAAGCAATTACAAATCATGATGACTGATAAGAAGGAAAAGTAGAAGTTGCTACCTGGAAAGATAAAAAGGGGGAACCTGATAGAGTTGTGGGATTGGGGGGGTTGTGGGTCAATAAAGAAGCAATGATTGAGCTGAGATTTTAATAAATAGACATTAACTTAGAGGAAGTTCAGAGAGGGGGATCAAGAGAGAGATGAGAACGTTGCAGGCAAGGAAAAATAAAGTATGTGCCAAGGCCCTGAGGCAGGAGGGAGACTGCGCGTTGAAGGACTGAAAGGTTTAAGAGAATATAGGAAATACCTGAGAAAATGGCCAACTAGAAGTAGCTAGTGTGCACTGCTCTCACAGAAAGGAATGGAAGGGGTGCATAAATACAGCATTTTCAACTGATACATCCAGGTAAATGCATTGGGTCTAATCAAAGAAACAATTCAACCCACAGAGAATCGAGAAAAGCAAGGCAGGTTGATAGCCCACCCAGGAGTAACACAGAGCCAGGGGAACCTCCTCTACCCAGGGAGGTGGTGAGTGAATGTGTGACCCCAGGAACCCATGCTTCCCTCATGGATCTTTGCAACTCTTAGGTCAGGAGATCCCCCTGTGAACCCATGCCACCAGGGCCTTCAGTCTGGCACAGAGCTCTGGAGTCTTGGCAGAGCAGCCACTCAGGCACATGCAGAGACCTGGGAGCCTTAGATACCCAGGCTTTCTGGGCTTCCCAACAAAAGCAGCTGCAACTCCAACAAAGTGGGAGGTTAGACCCCTGAATATATCCCTAGGAAGGGAACTGAATCAAAAGGGCTGAGCAGCAACAGCCTGCAGACCCCACTTCCATGGCACCTCGCGGGATAAGACCCACTGGCTTGGAACTGCAGCCAGCCACCGGTAGCAGTGTTACACCTCCCTGAGATGGAGCTCCCAGAAGGAGGGGCATGCCACCACCTTTGCTGTTCGGCCAACTGAGACATTCCAGGTTTCTAGCTTTGGAGAGTCTGAGGTAACCAGGGGCTGAAGTGGGTCCCCAGCACAGCGCAGCAGCTCTATGAAAACATGGCCAGGCTGTTTTTTTTAAGAGGGTCCCCCATCTCATTCCTCCTCACTGGGCGGGACCTCCCAACCACCATCCCTAGCTATCCCCACCAGTGTTCTCCAGCTGACAAGAGGTTTCAAACCTCCCTGGGATGGAACTCCCAGAGGGAGGGGCAGGCCACCATCTTTGCTGTTTGGCCAACTTAGCTGTTCTGGCCTTTGGGCTTTGGAGAGTTTGAGGCAACTAGGGGCTGAAGCAGACCCTCAGCATAGCCCAGCTGCTCTGCAAAAATGTGGCCAGACTGCTTCTTAAAGTGGGCCTCCGATCTTAGTCCTCCTCACTGGGCAGGACCTTCCAACCAGGGCCTTCGGCTACCCCTACCAGTGTTCTCCAGCCAACTGAGGTTTTAAACTTCCCTGGAATGGAGCACTCAGAGGGAGGCACAAGCTGCCATCTTTGCTATTTGGATGACTTAGCCATTCTGTCCTTTGAGCTCCGAAAGTCCAAGGTGACCAGGGGCTAAAGCAGACCCCCAGCACATCACAGCTGCTCTACAAATGTGTAGCCAGACTGCTTTAAGCAGGTCCCCAATCCCATTCTTCCTCACTGGGCAGGACTTCCCAACTGGGGTCTTCAGCTATGCCAAGCAGTGTTCTCCAGCTGACAGTGGTTTCAAACCTCCCTAGGACAGAGCTCCCAGCAGGCAGGGCAGGTGACCATCTCTGCTATTTGGGTGACTCAGCCATTCCAGCCTTTGGGCTTTAGAGAATCCAAGGCAACAAGTAGCTGGAGCAGATTCCCAGCACAGCACAGCTGCTCTATGAAAATGTGACCAGACTGTCTTTTAAAGGATATCCCCAATCCCATTTCTCCTCACTGGGCAGAACCTCCCAACTGGGGTCTCCGGGTACCTCCTACAGGTGCGTTCAGGCTGGCAACAGATCTCTCCCTGAGACACAGCTCCCAGAGGGAGAGGCAGGCCACCATCTTTGCTGTTTCACAGCCTTTACTGTTTATACCTCCAAATTTGAGAAAATTTGAGGTGTCTAGAAAGTGGAGCAGAGCCCCAGCATACCACAGCAGCCCTATGCAAAAGTGGCCAGACTGTCACATGAGTGCCTCTTCCCATATCTCCTTACTAGGCAGGTCCTCCAGGCCTGGGCCTCCAGCCACCCCCTTCTAAGGCTATTGAGCCAGTAGCAGCTCTGCAACTCAACTCCCTGAACAGATCCCCCAGTAACAGATCCCCCAGAGAGATCCCCCTCTCTGCCACTGCCACTGCAGTGGGACTGCCTTTGCTACCCGCAGACTAACGAAGGAGCAAAGACCCTAAGGTCTTTGTAGGTAAGGATAAAGACCCTTATCCACACCTCCAACAGGCTATGTCAACCCAAGGAGAAGAAGCCAGTCTCCTATGGGTCCCATGCCTCCTGCTCATCATCAGACAGGAAACCCTGGGCTTGGGTCCATAGCACAGACCCTCCATCCTGGGCTGATTGCATTGAGCAATTGCTGACCTGCATCTGAGGTGGAGCCCCCAAGAAACAAGCAGAAGACCCTTGGCCACAACCACTACTAAGGTCCCTTCCTCTGCTGCCTCCAGGTTGGAGAAGGAACATAAACCCTGAGATCATCCCAGAGCTGCAGTGGGCATCCCAGGAGTGCCAAGCTGTGATCTACAGCCAGCACTCAAGGGGAAGAGGAGCCCACACTTTCAGGGCATTGAGAGGGAACATGGCTGCAACTGTGAGAAAATATAGGGAGGCCATACAACCTACCAACTGACCAATACATCTAAGAACCACCTACTGGATCACACCCCAAAGCTTCAACCCAAAATTACCTTGCTAATATACCCCCCTATGAAACCAAAGACAGGAAGTCAGCTACAAATAAAAACTCTGCACTCTGCACTCTGCACGCTGCACAAATCCTTGGCTCTGTGAAAACATCCAGAAAAGAAATATATTCACTGTACTCAATTGACACTGCAGTTAAAGGAACACCCACACACAGAGATGAGAAAGAATCAACATGAAAACTTTGGTGACTCAAATGGCCAGGATGTCTCCTGTCCTCCAAATGACACACCAGTTCTCCAACAGTTCTTAACCAGGCTGAGCTGCTTGAAGTGATAGAAATAGAATTTAAGAATAAGAATAGCAATGAAGACTGTTGAAATTCAGGAGAATGGCAAAACCCAATCCAAGGGAACTAAGAATCACAATAAAATGAGGCAGGAGCTGAAGGACACAATAGCCAGTACAAAAAGGAACCTAACAGATCTGACAGAATTAAAAAACACAATATAAGAATTTCACAATGCAAACACAAGAATTGACAGCAGAATAGACCAAGCTAAGGAAAGAATTTCAGAACTTGAAGACTGGCTCCCACAACTAAGACAGTCAGAAAAAAAGGCATGAACAAACCTTCTGTGAAGTATGGGATTATGTAAAGAGGCCAGATCTACAAATTACTGGCATCCCTGAATGGGAGGGGAAGAAAGAAAACAACTTGGAAAACATATTTCAGGATATCATTCATGAAAACTTCCCCAACCTTGCTAGAGAGGCCAACAGTCAAATTCAGGAAATAGAGGGAACCCCTGCAAGAGTCTACACAAGAAGTTCACCCCCAAGACACACAATCATCAGATTTTCCAAGGTTGAAATGAAAGAAAGAATGTTAAGGGCAGTTAAAGAGAAAGGGCAGGTAACTTACCAAGGGAATCCCATCAGGCTAACAGTGGATCTCTCAGCTAAAACCCTACAAGCCAGAAGAGAGTATGAGGCATATATTCAACAATCTTAAAGAAAAAACTTCAACCAAGAATTTCATATCCAGCCAAACTAAGCTTCTTAAGCAAAGGAGAAAAAAGATCCTTTTCAGATAAGCAAATGTTGACAGAGTTTGTTACCACTAGACCTGCCTTACAAGAGATCTTGAAAGGAGCACTAAATAAAGGAAAGACTGCTACCAGCTAGTAGAAAAACACATTTAAATATACAGACTAGTGACACTACAAAGCAACCACAAAAACAAGCCAGCACAATAACCAGCTAACAACACAATGACAAGATGAAATCCACACATATCAATGCTAACATTAAATGTAAATGGGCTAAATGCCCCCACTTAAAAGGCACAGAGTGGCAAGCTGGGGAAAAAAAAAAAAACAAGACCCACCCAATCATGCGCTGTTTTCAAGAGACTCATCTCACATGTGATGATACCTATAGGCTCAAAATAAAGGGAAGGAGAAAAAATCTACCAAACAAATGAAAAACAGAAAAAGCAGGAGTTGCAATCCTAATTTCAGACAAAAGAGACTTTAAACCAACAAAGATCAAAAAAGACAGGCCAGTCGTGGTGGCTCATGTCTGTAATCCTAACACTTTAGGAGGCCGAGGCAGGCAGATCACTTCAGGTCAGGAGTTTGAGACCAGCCTGGCCAACATGATGAAACCCCATCTCTACTAAAAATGCAAAAATTAGCCAGGCATGGTGGTGCACACCTGTAATCCCAGCTACTCAGGAGGCTGAGGCAGGAGAATTGCTTCGACCCAGGAGGCAGAGGTTGCAATGAGCCAAAATCACACCACTGCATTCCAGCCTAGGGGACAAGAGCGAAACTCCATCTCAAAAAAAAAAGAAAAAAAAAAGGACGACATGATTCTATATCTAGAAAACCCTACAGTCTCTAGGTGCAAAAGTTCCTTCAGCTGATAAGCAACTTCAGCAAAGTTTCAGGACACAAAAATCAATGTACAAAAATCACTAGCATTCCTATACACCAGCAACAGACAAGCTAAGAGACAAATCAGGAAGGCAATCCCATTCACAACTGCCACAAAAATAATAAAATACCTAAGAATACAGATAACCAGGGAGGTTAACGATCTCTACAATGAGAATTACAAAACACTGCTCAAGGAAATCAGAGAAAACACAAACAAATAGAAAAACATCCCATGCTCGTGGATAGGAAGAATCAATATCATTAAAATGGCCACACTGCCCAAAGCAATTTACAGATTCAATGCTATTCCTACCAAACTACCAATGACATTTTCCACAGAACTTGAAAAAAAAACTATTTTAAAATTTATATGGCACCAAAAAAGAGCATGAATAACCAAGGCAATCTTAAGCAAAAAGAACAAAGCTGGAGGCATAACATTACCTGACTTCAAACTATACTACAAAGCTACAGTAACCAAAATAGCATGGTACTGGTACAAAAACAGACACATAGGCCAATGGAACAGAAGAGAGAGCCCAGAAACAGACCAACACACTGTGACCATCTGATCTTTGACAAAGTTGACGAAAAGCAAGAAATGAGGAGAAGACTCCCTATTCAATAAATGGTGCTGGGATACCTGGCTAGTTATATGCAGAAGATTGATGCTGGACCCCTTCCTTACACCATATATAAAAATTAACTCAAGATGGATTAAAGATTTAAATGTAAAACCCAAAACTACAAACACCCTCAAAGACAACCTATGCAATACCATCCTGGACACAGGAACAGGTAAAGATTTCATGACAAAGACACCAAAAGCAATCATGACAAAAGCAAAAATTGACAAATGGGATCTAATTAAACTTAAAAGCTTCTGCACCACAAAAGAAACTATCAACAGAGTAAACAGACAACCTACAGAATGAGAGAAAATATTTGCAAACTACGCATATGACAAAGGTCTAATATCCAGCATCTGTAAGAAACTTAAATAGACGAGAAAAACAAACAACCCCATTAAAAAGTGGTCAAAAGACATGAACAGATACTTTTCAAAAGAAAACGTACTTGTGGCCAACAAGCACATTGAAAAAAAAGCTTAATATCACAGATCATTAGAGAAATGCAAATCAAAAACACAATGAGATACCATTTCACAGCAATCAGAATGGCTATTATAAAAAGTCAAAAAATAACAGATGCTGGTGAGGCTGCAGAGAAAAGGGAAAACTTATATACTCTTGGTGGGAGTGTAAATTAGTTCAACCATTGTGGAAAGCAGTATGGCAATTCTTCAAAGATCTAAAGATCTACCATTCAACCCAGCAGTCCCATTGCTGTGTATATACCCAGAGGAATTTAAATTATTTGACCATAAAGACACATGCATGAGAATGTTCACTGCAGCACTATTCACAATAGCAAAGACATAGAATCAACCTAAATGTCCATCAATGACAAATTGGATAAAGAAAATGTGGTACATATATACCGAGGAGTACTATGCAGCCATAAAAAGAATGACATCATGTCTTTTGTGGGAACATGGATGGAGCTGGAGGCAAACTAACACAGAAACTAACATAGCTTCTTAGCAAACTTACACAGAAATCCAAATACCGCATGTTCTCACTTATAAGTGGGAGCTAAATGATGAGAACTCATGAAGAAAAAGAAGGGAACAACAGATACTGAGGTCTACTTGAGAGTGGAGAAAATAACTATTGGGTGCTAGGTTTAACACCTGGGTGATGAAATAATCTGTACAACAAACAGCTGCAACAGAAGTTTACTTATATAACAAACCTTCACATGAACCCTGAACCTAAAATAACAGGTTTTTTTTTTTAATTAGATGAGGCTGGAGACAGAGCTGGCCCAGATCACATGAGGCTTTGCAGATATCATAAGGAGTTTGGTCTTTAAGAGCAATTGGAAGCCATTCCAAGCTTTCAAGAAACATCAGATTTTCATTTTTTAAAGTTCATCTGGATACAGTGTAAGAAATGTATTACAGTTGGGAGGTGCTTCAGTCACCCTGAGATAGATGACAGTAGTGCCACTATAGGGAGCCAGTGAGTTAGAGAGGAGTGTATGCATAGTAGGGATATTTACAAGGTAAAATCCAAAGGACTTGGCTGTGTTAAAGAAATACACGAATGTATTAGTGAATCAGTCTTCAAAACAGTCCATATTTACTTAATCTTCCCACTTGCCATAATGACTAAATTTTAGAAAATTTCTTTATGCAAATGGTAATTTTTTAAAAACAGAAAATATAAAGCTCCATCTAATATTAGTGTTTTACAAAAAAAGGCATATGAGCTTTTATACCTTATGGACCTTATTCCAAATAGAAGATGAAGAGTCTTGAATTCAGTTATTTTTTCCCTGTGAATATATTTGTATGAGACTCTTCTAGGTCTCTGATTCATTTCCTATATTTATTAATATGTAAATGTTAATAGCCTCCTTTAATTTACAGCCAAGCTACAGATCACCATTTCTCAAAGTGTGTTCCCCAGAACTAGCCCTTTTTTTCTTCAATAATGGTTAAATATATAACAGTTTCATTACTGGAGGCTTTCAAAGCCTTTAATATGCTAACATGCATTGTGAACTTCCAAAGCAGAAATCTGGAACACATCTCAACTCATGTGTCATGGAATGCGTTCCACTGAACATATCAGTGATCTGGTATTCCATAAGATCCCTTAAGTAACAGGCCATGTGCATCTTGGCTTAGCTCCTTGAGCAAAGTTTTTCATATAACATGTCTGTATAATTTTTTAAATGAATGACAATATGGATTAAGAGTTGCAAACTTTAAGACCAAGTCTGTTAGCTAAGTGACATGACAAAGGACTGACAAATGCCCTATGCCTCTAATGAGGGCATCAATAGAAGGACAGCCAGCTAACTTGTTGATATGTAAAAAATTTTTAAAGGGAAGCCAAAAATCCATATTTCTATATGAAATTTCATACTATTTCTTAGTGCCTCAGGCCAAACAGAACATATAGGCTAAAAGTTTGAACTTCTAAGACATTCGAACACACATTACATTTCACTACTTAAAAAAAAAAAATGGTCAGGCGAAGTTGCTTAGTGGAGTAACCAAGAATCCTCCTGTGAGATCCATAAAAGCTTTTCTTCCTTTTAAGGAACTCACACTTTTAATTTTCCATTATGAAAATTTCCATTTCTATTTTTTAATTTTCTTCTTGAGGAAAAGTAACTCCTTCACTGCCTGGAGGCATCATTAGAGACCCTAAAAGAGATAACTTAGCAAATAATACTGTTAAACCTTGAAAGAAATCATTATTTCATTATAAAGCACATTTTCTCCCTGGTTCAGGAAAGACCAGGTCATTCAGGAATAAAGAGCAATAGAAAAGCAATCCCATTTGAGAAAGCACATTATTACACCAGAGGCAAACACTTAGATATAGCAATGCAATCAGACCAGAGTTTAATTACAGATGTGATCGTTTATCTGTTTTGCTAAAAAGAAGTAATGTGACTGCTTAAACTACAGTAAACTCTCAGTTATTTGGGACCTTATTTATCAACTTATTGGTTACCCACCCCAATTTTTTTCCTTTCTTGCTAAGCATATTTGTCTATTTCAATACTAACAGGTACAGGAAAATGCACACTTAGTAAGTTTGCATTTCTTAAATTTCATTAAAACTACCCACAAACGTACACACACCATACATACAGGGTTAGGTAGTCTATGTTTTGTTTCTTATTTATGCTGTTTCTATAATGGGTGCTTTATTGTTTACCATGTGATTAAAATTCTATTCATATATCTTTTTCCTTTTTTATCATTTAGAAGTCCAGCATGAATAGTGGGGAAAAAAAATGTAGTAGTAGTATGGTTCTATTTCGTAAAAATCAATTGTATTTTTAAATGAAGTGTTTACTTGAAACAATGAGATTTTTTACTGCTAATGAAACCGTATATATAATAACACCTCTCGAAGCTGAAGATAACTTGTTTCCTGACCTCAACAGTCTAAAAAATATCCAATAACCAAGAAAATGGAATTTGAACTAATACGTCTGCATGAGCCAAAACAGATAATAACAACAACAAATAATGCCATCACCTCATGCAGCCAGGGCAGGCTGTCTTCAAATCCCTTTAAAAGATTTTCATAAACATAATCTCATTTGATCTGCTAAATAGCATTATAGTAGTTTCCCCTTATCCATGGGGGACATGTTCCAGAGCCCCAGTGCGTGCCTGAAACCATAAATAGTATAAAATCCTATATATACTACTTTTTCCATACATACATACAATAAAGTTTAATTTATATATTAGGCACAGTAAGGGATTAACATTATCAAATAATAAAATAGAACAATTACAAAAATATACTACAATAAGTTATGTGGATGTGCTTGCTCTCTTTATCTCTCTCAAAATATCTTATTACACTGTACTCATTGTTCTTCTGATAATTTGAGATGATACATGCCTACATGATACATGAAATGAGGTGAATGAAGTAGGCATTGTGATGCAGCATTAGGCAACTATTTGACTTTCTGATGACCCTTCAGAAGGAAGAGTGTCTGCTTTGGGTGATCCTGGATCATCAAGCCATGACTATGTCAATGGTTGGATGTCAGGAACACATGATGTCAGTGGCTAACTAGGTAGGTAGTGTAATGGGCAGGTGGATACACAGGACAAAGGGATGATTAAGGACCTGGGTGGGACAGAGCAGGATGGCATGAGAGTTCATTGTGCTTCTCAAAATAGCATTTGATTTAAAATTTATGACTCGTTTATTTCTGAAATTTTCCATTTAATGTTTTTGTACTGCAGTTGACCATGAGTAACTGAAACCACAGAAAGCAAAACCACAGATAAGGAGGAACTACTGTGTAATTTTTAAAAGGGTTGGCAATCTTATTCCCATTACTCAGATGAAAATTGTAGGGTTACCGTATTTCATCCAAATAATGACAATGACTGGAGCACTATTAATAATTATGCCTGGACAACAAACATAAACTTGAGATGGTCACAGGCAAACCAGAACATACAGTCATCCTAGAAATACTATGTCATAAAGTCATGCTTTTGCTTAGGCAAGCTCCTCAGGCCATCTCTAAGAGCTTATTTGCTCCTGCTAATAGGTGATGTACCTCCCCCATGAGGCAAGATGTTATTTGTGGCTAAGGGGAGCAAAGTCAATCTAGAAGGGTAGGGTTGACCTGGGAGTCTAAAACAGATGAATTAGGCTAATGGTACAAATCACAATGACCAGGGCACTTAGTGAACTTGTGGCTAACAACAGATCCCAAAGGGGCCCAGCCTCAGCTCCAGCCCATACTGTTGTAACAAGGAAGAACGTTGCTTTTCAAAGACCTGCTGTGTGATGCATGCCTGAGTCAATGAGACAGGCCCGCCAGTCTCCTTCTCACAACAGATCCCAAGGGGACCCAGTCTCAAATCCAGCCCCTCTAGCTGCAGTCAGGGACCTATATCACCTGTGCAGAGACCTGCTGGGAGGCATACCCATCTGAGCCATCAGGACAGTCTTCTGGACTTACTGGCCAGTATTCCCACTCAGCCCCAGTACCCTCCTTGGGTCCTCACCAGGCTCATCTGAGCCAGAAGGCCACACAAACTTTGGAATCCTCACAAGACCTGGAGTAAGCCTGAGCTTATAGTGTCCTCTAGTGCTGAGACAGCTACAGTGGTCACAGGCTCAGGAAAACCAAGACAGTCTGCTTAAAATCCCTAGAAGGCCCTCTGACAGGGACAGGCACAAACAAGGCCAATTTGTGAAGGCTAAAATGAATACCTAATCCCTCAATGCTCAGACATGGTCACACGTCACAAGCATCAAGAACGTTCAAGGAAATATGACCTCACCAAACAGACAAAATAAGGTGCCAGAAGCTGACCCTGAAAGTGATGGAAATGTGTAATCTCTTGGACAAAGAATTTTAAATAGCTGTTTTAAGGAAGCTCAACAAACTTCAAGAAAACACAGAGAATCAATTCAGAAATTTATCGGAGAAATTTAAGGGAGAGATTGAAATAACTTTTTAAAAATCAAACAAATCCTGGAGGTAAAAAATACAATTAATGAGATTAAAAAATGCAATAGAGAGCATCAACAGCAGAACTGGTCAATTGGAAGAAAGAAATAGTAAGCTCAAAGACAGACTATTTGAAAGTCAGAGGGCTCACGCTTGTAATCCCAGCACTTTTGGAGGCCGAGGTGGGTGGATCACCTGAGATTGGGAGTTTGAGACCAGCCTGACCAACATGGAGAAACCCCATCTCTACTAAAAATATAAAATTAGCTGGGCGTGGTGGCACATGCCTGTAATCCCAACCACTTGGGAGGCTGAGGCAGAAGAATCACTTGAACCCGGGAGGTGGAGGTTGCGGTGAACCAAGATCGCACCATTGCACTCCAGCCTGGGCAACAAAAGTGAAACTGTTTAAAAAAAAAAAAAAATCTTTGCCTAGACATATTGTCATTAGGTTATCCAAAGCTAAGACAAAGGAAAGAATTTTAAGAGCTGTGAGACAGAAGCACCAGGTAGCCTATAAAGGAAAATCTATCAGATTAACAGCAGATTTCTCAGCAGAAACCCTATAAGCTAGAAGGGACTATCTTCAGCCTCCTCAAACAAAACAATTATCAGCCAAGAATTTTGTATCCAAGCAAAACTAAGCATCATATCTGAAGGAAAGATAAAGTCATTTTCAGACAAACAAATGCTGAGAGAATTTGCCATTACCAAGCCAACCACTATAAGAACTGCCAAAAGGAGCTCTAAATCTTGAAACAAATCCTGGAAACACATCAAAACAGAACCTCTTTAAACTATAAATCACACAGGACCTATAAAACAAAAATACAAGTTAAAAAGCAAAAACAAAAACCAAAAAACCAAAGTACCCAAGCAACAAAGAGCATGATGAATGCAATGGTACCTTCAATACTAACATTAAATGTAAATGGCCTAAGAGCTCCACTTAAAAGGTACAGAACTGCAGAATGGATAAGAACTCACCAACCAACTATCTGCTGCCTTCAGGAGACTCACCTAAGTATTCACATAAACTTATAGGGGTGGAAAAAGGCATTTCATGCAAATGGAAACCAAAAGCAAGCAGGTGTAGCTATTATATCACAGAAAACAAACTTTAAAGCAACAGTGGTTAAAACAGACAAAGAGGGATATGACGTAATGGTAAAAGGCCTTGTTCAACAGGAAAATATCACAATCCTAAACATATATGCACCTAATACTGGAGCTCCCAAATTTATAAAGCAATTACTAACAGACCTAACAAACAAGAGAGACAGCAACACAATAATAGTGGGGACTCCAATACTCCACTGATAGCACTAGACAAGTCATCAAGACAGAAAGTCAACAAAGAAACAATAGACTTAAAACTATACCTTAAAACAAATGGACTTCACAGACTTCCATCCAACAACCACAAAATACACATTCTATTCAACAGCACATAGAACTTTCTCCAAGATAGACCGTATGATAGGCAATAAAACAAAGCTTAATAAATTTAAGAAAATTGAAATTATATCAAGCACTGTCTCAGACTACAGTGGGATAAAACTGGAAATCAACTCCAAAAGGAACCTTCAAAACAATGCAAATACATGGATATTAAATAATCTGTTCCTGAATGAGCACTGGGTCAAAAGCAAAATCAAGATGGAAATTTAAAAATTATTTGAACTTAATGATAATAATGACATCACCTATCAAAACCTCTGGGATATAGCTAAGGTGGTGCTAAGATGAAAGATCATAGCCCTAAATGCCTAAATCAAGAAGTCTGAAAGAGCACAAACAGATAATCTAAGGTCACACCTCAAGGTACTAGAGAAACAAGATCAAACCAAACCCAAACCCAGCAGAAGAAAGGAAGTAACCAAGATCAGAGCAGAACTAAATGAAATTGAAACAAAAAAAAACACAAAAGATAAATGAAACAAAAAGCTGGTTCTTTGAAAAGACAAATAAAATTGATAGACCATTAGCAAGATTAGCCAAGAAGACAGAAGATCTAAATAATCTCACATTATTACAACTGATACCACCGAAAAGAAAAAGATAATTCAAGGCTACTATGAACACCTTTACACACATAAACTAGAAAACCTAGAAGAGATGGATAAATTCCTGGAAAAATACAACCCTCCTAGCTTAAATCAGAAGAATTAGACACCCTGAACAGACTGAAATGGTAATTTAAAAGTTACCAACAAAAAAACGTCCAGGATCAGATGGAGTCACAGCAGAATTCTACCAGATATTCAAAGAAAAATTGGTACCAATCCTTTTTTTTTTTTTGAGACGGACTCTCGCTCTGTCACCCAGGCTGGAGTGTACTGGCGCGATCTCAGCTCACTGCAAGCTCCGCCTTCCGGGTTCATGCCATTCTGCTGCCTCAGCCTCCCAAGTAGCTGGGACTACATGCACCCACAACCATGCCCAGCTAATTTTTTGTATTTTTAGTAGAGACGGGGTTTCACCACGTTAGCCAGGATGGTCTCGATCTCCTGACCTCGTGATCTGCCTGCCTCGGCCTCCCAAAGTGCTGAGATTACAGGCGTGAGCAACTGCACCCGGCCGGTACCAATCCTTTTGACAGAGATCCTTTTCACAAGATAGAGAAAGAAGCAACCCTCCCTAATTCGTTCTATAAAGCCAGCATCACCCTAATACCAAAATCAGGAAAGGACATAACCAAAAAAGAAAACTACAGACCTATATCCTTGATGAACATGGATGCTAAAATCCTTAAAGTACTAGCTAACTGAATCCAACAACATATCAAAAAGATAGTCCATCATGATCAACTGGGTTTCATACCAGGGATGCAGGGATGGTTTAACACACACAAGTCAATAAATGTGATACACCACATAAACAGAATTAAAAACAAAAATCACATGATCATCTCAATAGATGCAGAAAAGGCATTTGACAAAATCCAGCATCCTTTATGATTAAAACTCTCAGCAAAATCGGTATATAAGAGACATACTTTAATGTAATAAAAGCCATCTATGACAAACCCACAGCCAACATAATACTGAATGGGGAAAAGTTGAAAGCATTCCCTCTGAGAACTGGAATAAGACAAGGATGCCCACTCTTATCACTTCTCTTCAATATAGTACTGGAAGTCCTAGCTAGAGAAATCAGACAAGAGAAAGAAAGAAAGCACATCCAAATTGGTAAAGAGGAAGTCAAACTGTCAATGTTTGCTGATGATATGATCGTTTACCTTGAAAACCCTAAGGATTCCTCCAGAAAGCTCCTAGAACTGATAAGAGAATTCAGCAAAGTTTTCAGATACAAGATTAACGTACACAAATCAGTAGCTCTTCCGTACATCAACAGCAACCAAGTGGAGAATCAAATCAAAACCTCAACCCCTTTTAAAACAGCTGCAAAAAATAAAATAAAATACTTTGAAATATATCTAACAAAAGAGTCAAACTACCTCTACATGGAAAACTGCAAAACACTGCTGAAAGAAATCACAGACAACACAAACAAATGGAAACACATCCCATGTTCACGGATGGGTAGAATCAATATTGTGAAAATGACCATACTGCCAAAAGCAATCTACAAATTCAGTGGAATCCCCATCAAAATACCACCATCATTCTTCACAGAATTAGAAAAAACAATTCTAAAATTCATATGGAACCAAAAAAGAGCCGACATAGTCAAAGCAAGACTAAGCAAAAAGAACAAATCTGAAGGCATCACACGATCTGATTTCAAACTATACTATGAGGCGATAGTCACCAAAACAGCATGGTACTGGTATAAAAATAGGCACATAGACCAATGGAACAGAATAGAGAACCCAGAAATAAACCCAAATACTTACAGCTAACTGATCTTTGGCAAAGCAAACAAAAACATAGAGTGGGGAAAGGATACCCTTTTCAACAAATGGTGTTGGGATAATTGGCTACCCACCTGCAGGAGAATGAAACCGGATCCTCATCTCTCACCTTATACAAAAATCAACTCAAGATGGATTAAGGACTTAAACCTAAGACATGAAACTATAAAAATTCTAGAAGATAACATTGGAAAAACCCTTCTTAGGCAACGATTTCATGACCAAGAACCCAAAAGCAAATGCAATAAAAACAAAGATAAATAGCTGGGACCTAATTAAAGGGCATTTGCATGGCAAAAGGAACAGTCAACAGAGTAAACAGACAACCCGCAGAGTGGGAGAAAATCTTCACAATCTACACATCTGATGAAGGACTAATATCCAGAATCTACAACGAACTCAAACACATCAGTAAGAAAAAAGCAAACAATCCCATCAAGAAGTAGGCTATGAATAGACAATTCTCAAAAGAAGATATACAAAGGGCCAACAAACATATGAAAAAATGCTCAACATCACTAATGATCAGGGAAATGCAAATCAAAACCACAATGCAATACCACCTTACTCCTGCAAGAATGGCCATAATCAAAAAATCAAAAAACAGTAGATGCTGGCATGGATGCAGTAAAGAGGGAACACTTCTACACTGCTGATGGGAACGTAAACTAGTACAGCCACTATGGAAAACAGTGTGAAGATTGCTTAAAGAACTAAAAGTAGTTCTTTTAGTAGTTTGATCCAGCAATCTCACTACTGGGTATCTACCCAGAGGAAGAGAAGTCATTATTCTAAAGAGATGCCTGCACACACATGTTTATAGCAACACAATTGTAAAATCATGGAACCAATCCAAATGTCCATCAATCAATGAGTAAATAAAGAAACTGTGGTATATATATACAATGGAATACTACACAGCCATAAAAAGGAATGAACTAACAGCATTTGCAGTGATCTGGATGAGATTGGAGACTATTATTCTAAGTCCAGTAACTCAGAAATGGAAAAATAAACATCACATGTTCTCATTGATATGTGAGAGCTAAGCTATGAGGATGCAAAGGCATAAGAATGATACGATGGACTCTGGGGACCTGGGGGGAGCACGGGAGGGGGGCGAGGGATAAAAGACTACAAATAGGGTGCAGTGTGTACTGCTTAGGTTTGGGTGCACCAAAATCTTACAAATCACCACTAAAGAACTTACTCATGTAACCAAATACCACCTGTACCCCAATAACTTACGGAAAAATAAAATAAATGTTATTAAATAAATGCCAAAAAAAATAAAATAAAAGGCATGACCATATGTAATAGATCTTAGAAAGATGACCCATCCAAAGTAATTGACGTGGATGGCTTGGTTGCTTCATGCAGTAGCCCCCTAAGCTACTCAGAAGCCTTGATTATCTAGAGTGAAGCATTCAGAAGGTGTCTGAGAGCACAAATTACAGTTCATGTTATTTTGCTTAAAAAGATCTGTATCTCTCCAAGTTCAGAATGTATAACTAAACACATCTTATTCTCCAACTTTTGCTTCCCACTACTGAGTTGTGAGGCTCTGGATAGCTTAATGAAATACTCCGGAACTCATATTTTCATCTGGAAATGAGAAGATTAAATCCCTTAGGTCAGGGGTCAGCAAACTTATAACCCACAGGCCTGCATCTGTTTTTGTAAATAAAGTTTGATTGAAACACAGCTACCCTAATTCCTTTATACATTGTCCATGGCTGCTCTCACTGAACAATGGAAGAACTGAATCCTTGTGTCAAAGATGATCTAGACTTCAGGGCCTAAAATATTTACTACTTTTCAGGACAAGTTTGCTGATGTCTGACTTAGGTTATTCTTTATTTTTTAAGTGGAGAGAGATATAAAAGAATGGAAATCCATATATATTGGCCGGGCGCAGTGACTCACGCCTGTAATCTCAGCACTTTAGGAGGCCGAGGCAGGCAGATCATCTGAGGTCAGAAGTTTGAGACCAGCTTGGCCAACATGGTGAAACCCCATCCTTACTAAAAATACAAATATTAGCCAGGTGTCATGACACGCCCCTGTAATCCCAGCTACTAGGGAGGCTGAGGCAGGCTGAACCCTTGAGGTGGAGGTTGCAGTGAGCTGAGATCCAGCCACTGCACTCCAGCCCGGGCAACAGAGCAAGACTCCGTAAATCCATATATATATATGGATTATATGTATATGTAATGGGAAAACATTCTGATCAGTGATTTCCCTTCCTCAGAGCTTAGACATCTTTTTTTTTTTTTTTTTGCCCTGTCTCTGCTTCTCACTGGTAGTTTTTTTGCTCATCACAGAGCCACCCTTCTCCTTCCTTTCAAGGTTTTCCCTATTGCTTTGTTTTGTGTCTATACTCTCTCTCTGTGTCTATTTCCTTATGTTCATCTTTCTTAGAAACATTTGTCCAGAATTAACCCCAGATAACTAACTAATAATACTTCGAATGCATATGGTATCTTTCTTTACAAAGGCCTTTGAAAATACTGTGGCATGATCTTAAAAACAAAATGACTTTCTAAAAATAAAACAACAAATACAAAATTAAGGAACTTGGTCTCCCCTCAGCTAGGTATCTTTTCTTTTGACGTTTTCTGCAGAAAATTGCTAGTGGGCTCCTAGAGCTGTGCTGTACTCACCTCGGGGTATGGAAACGTCAGGCTTGGCTTCAGTGACTGAGCTGTTTCTCTGCTTTTGATCTCATTCTAATGCCTTCAACCTTAAATTTCAACTTTCAGTTTTCACCTTTCTCTGCATGCTGCTTACCAACCTTCCCCTGACCTTTTCCACATGGCTTCCCACTGCTTCCTTTTGCTCATGTTTTCTTAGTCTTCTGATCATTCTGCAAGCATTTTCGCTAAATACTATCTTCTCGTCTCTGAAAACCTCTCTCATCCTCTCTGACTCTTTTTCCTTCTAAATAACTTTAAACAGCACACAAACTTCTATTTTTACTTTTTCTTTAAATATGCTTACCTCTGAGCATTAAATTATTCTCATTTCTTTCCCATGAATATCCCACTACAGAATACACACTGGGCTACATTATTTGTATTTCAGCAAGCAGCCTTGGGGCTCCTTTCCCGGGCTGTTGTCATTAAAAGGACTAAAGCAAAACATTGAAACAAATGATAACATGGACTGTTCTCTATAGTGAATCTGAGAACAAGCAATCAATTTCAACTAAAAACGAGGTACTGTGCATCCCATTATTACCTGCTGTAGTTTGGTTCTGGTGAAGAGAAGAGATGGAGTTAATTGAGAAAGTTCTTTGCCATTTAGTGTAGAGCATCTCTCTTTATTTATTTATTTATTTATTTAGAGATGGGGTCTCACTCTGCCACCCAGGGTGGAGTGCAGTGGCATGATCTCAGCTCACTGCAACCTCTGCCTTCCAAGTTCAAGTGATCCTCCTGCCTCAGCCTCCTGAGTAGCTGAAATTACAGGTGCCCGCCATCACGCCAGGCTAATTTTTGTGTTTTCAGTAGAGATGGGGGTTTCGCCATGTTGGCCAAGCTGGTCTCGAACTCCTGACCTCAAGGACCCACCTGCCTCGGCCTCCCAAAATGCTAGGATTACAGGCATGAGCCACCACGCCCAGCCGAGCATCTCTCTTTAAACTACTTTATCCACACTGACAATTTACATTCAGTACTAATCAAAAAGGAAACTAGAGGCCAGACACGGTGGCTCATGCCTGTAAATCCAGCACTTTGGGAGGCCGAGGCAGGTAGATCACCTGAGGTCAGGAGTTTGAGACCAGCCTGGACAACACAGTGAAACCCCGTCTCTACCAAAAATACAAAAAATTAGCTGGTGTGGTGGCAGGCGACTGTAATCCCAGCTACTCAGGAGGCTAAGGTAGGAGAATCATTTGAACCTAGGAGGCAGAGGTTGCGGTGAGCTGAGATCGTGCCATTGCACTCCAGTCGGGGCAACAAGAGCGAAATTTTGTCTCCAAGAAAAAAAGAAACTAGGACTTCAACTAGGGCATTTTAAAACACCACAATTACAACATAGGTTTAATAATAAAAAATAAAACACTAACATCCAGTGATCACTCAGTGTATAATAGTCCTTACGCATATAAAGTACTTTATAGAATTATCTCTTGTAATCCTTCCCAGCACCAATGCATACAATGGTTTAGGTTGGACATTGCATGAGAGTAGCACAACTAAAAAGACTGTCACATCATAGCCCTTTTTATCATTTTGAAGACTGTTCATATTTTTATCATAACTTGGCTAACTTTAAAGATGACAGAGCTATATATTTATGAAGATAGTTTACTGACAGGTGGCAGTAAAATGTCTTACTTAATAGGATTGATATATATTACATTTTGCTTGGACTTACAAAGGAAGAATATATTTGATTATTAAAAGATCTTGATGATCTAACAACATTCAAAATAACCTACATTTCTAAATAAGATTTTTTTCTCACTGAAGTACTAACTGATTAGTATCTTAAATTTTTTTCAAATCTTTATACTTCATATACTCTGGCACTTGTCTTCTGTACTCAAGTAAGATAGCAGAGTTCTATTTTAAGTATACAGGCATTTTCATTATGATACAAATAACTAGGTAATAGCTAATATAATTTAGCATCAATAATATACAAAGTATGTATTAAATTGACAAATTAGAGATTACTATGTAACAATCTGCTGATTATATTAGAGCACTTGTTTATTTGTTGCTATGGAAATTTTATAATTAACTGCTGTTAAAATTTTTGACTTGTTATCTATAAATTTGATTTTCTAATTGTAATTAAAAATTCAAAATGAATATTACATTGTTTAATCATTTGATGTACAGTATTTATTCAGAATGACTTTATGTTTGTATAATTGTAATTAATGATAGTATATAATATACTAACTTCAAAAGTTCTTTTTTCACTTGAGGAATGAGAGCCTTTCTCTAATTCACACAAAGGTGTCCTGTGGGCTAGCAGCAGCCTTGATCTTTCAGCCAATTTCATGATGGAGAAGATACTGTTATTATCTCCTTTTTACAGAAAGGGAGGCTTAGAAATGTTAAACAATATGCCCACATCACAGAGATAGCAAGTCATGGGGCAAGATTCAAACCCTAGCAGTTTGAGCCAGAGCTCAACGTAGGCAGCGTAACTCTCACTGCTGAATAGCAAGGTTTGAGGAATTACAGGTATCACCTCCCAAAAAGGACCTCCCATACCTTCCGGTCCGGATGGACATTTCTCCCACCGATGTCACTTATTGATTATGCAACAAAAGTGAATGCATTTCTTCCGGAAGATCACAGTGGTGACAATAGAAGCTGATCAGAACTAGCAAGATGGAAGAGTCATTCAGTGTGGATTTCCAAAAATATGTGTATGTTTCAGGAATTGATGAGAAGCACATTTTGATGAAAAACAGACCTAGATTCAAATTATTCCTCTGCCACCTACTCAAGAACCCTTCCTCTCAAACTCCTGGTCCCCCTCCAGCATACAAAACCACATCCTATATATATCTCCAACCATTCACCTGTCCAAGCCAGGAACCTGGGAATCAGCCTTGACACCTTCCTTTCCCTCCCCACCCCACTTCTTCGCACCCATCGCCAAGACCTGTCCTTGACTTTGCAAATATCTCACACACATGTTTCTCACCCTGTGTACCATTGCCACCCTGGCCTCACCATTATTTCACCCCAGAATTACTATAATACCCTCTTAACCACTTTCCCTTCTCACACTCTGACTCCTCTCCCATTTGCTCTCCCCACTGCACCCAGATTGACTATTCATCTCATCAAAGAATGCATTCCCTTAAAACCTGCGAATGCAATGCCTATCATTTCTAAACATCAAGCTCTATCCTAGCCTACACAATCTTACAAGATGTGCCACCTCTCCTTCTCCAGTCATCTCCTCTATACAGCAGACCTGCCTGCTGATTCTCAGATACTCCCAGCTCCCTCCTACACCAGGGCCTTTGCACATGCTTTCTCTTTGGACTACCTAACACCCACGTATCTTTCATTACTCAGCCTCACCATCAGAACCTCCAGGTACGCGCTCCCTGACCTTGGCCTTTCCTTCATATCTCTCCTCACGTCTACTGGCCCAAGGGCAGATCTGGTCATTCTGTGCTAGCTTCTCCTATACTGCATGTTTTGTTTTTTCCTTCAGAGACTTTATTACAGGTTGTAATTATACATTGATATATGGTTATTATTGGTTAATGTCTGTCTTCTGCCGTGGACTATAAGCTACATGTGGGGACTATAAGCTTGTTCAATAGCACACAGAACTATGTAGCTATGAGCAAATTACTTAAACTTTCCCAAAAAAAAAAAAAAACAGTGTGGGGGAACAATACTGCCTCAAAGGTTTTTGGCAGGCTTAATCAGCTATGTAAAGCACTAAACAGAATAGGCTCATTTACTCGATACATGGTAGCTATTCCTGCTGTTATTCCCTACAATATGCTGTGGGCCGTCAGAATTTGTCCTCATTTTAAAATTGTTTCTAGTCTCGTAAAAAGGGAAAACATTCACACAAATAATTAAAACACTATAGGATAAGAGTCTATCACACTAGCCAACAGGAGGCCTGACCTAACAGGCTTTGGCCTTCGCAAATGTGAAGTCGCCGACATTCAGGATACCTTCTATCATCTCTCCTTTAGGGACCATCAGGATCCTGCTGCTTGGATCACAAGCATGGCATTATCAAGAGATTGGCTCAAACACCATCTCCTCAGTGTAGACCTTCGTGATGCTGCCAAGAAGAATTAACACCTTTTTCATCCCATGTCCTCCAGCAGTGTGTGTCTGTGTGTGTCCCTATTAAGAAATTGAAGTTCCTCAAAGGCAAGAATCATGTTTTTCATTTCTATATTCCTAACCAAATCAACTACAATAAATGCCCAAATAAGTTTCATTGAATGAATGAATGAATGAATGAATGAATGAAAAGGAAATTAAAATTACACACACAACAGTGGATATGTAGAAAAGACAAGCACAGCAAGAGCAACTAGGCTGCCCAGGGAGGCAGTATGCAAGTCCAGAACCTAGCTTATGTTCAGAGGGCTTTCAAAAGACAGATCAAAGGAAGTGGAGCCTGGGCAAGAGGCAGCCCTAGTCTGTTTACTCTTCAGTCACTTTGTAACTTACCTGCTGCCCCCACCCCAGGTCTGCTTTGACATGAGATCTTTAAATGTTGAGGTGGGAAGGGGGGAATCGCTTAACTGCTATCTGATTCTTCATCTGTAAAATAAAGCTACTGACACTGACCTTCCTCATAGAGCTATTGTGTGGGATAATTAATTAATAATTGCAGAATCCTTTAAGAGTATAAAGTGCAACATAAATGCTAAGCATAATTTCCACACAGTCTCTGCTGGCTCTTCTCAAGCACATTCCGGCGGCCTCGGGGTCTTTGATCTGCTGTTATCACCTGCAATAGAGCAAACAATGCCTTTGTATCATTAAGCAAATACATAATGAATGGTATTCATTGTTAAAGGTTACTTAGCAATATAACTTTTTTTTTGCCTTTTGAATGGGAACATCCACCGGTGAGAGGATTACGTAAGCTAATAGCTAATGTATCAAAGGAAAGGAGAGAAAAGAAACAGCCATGGCAACCAGAGCAATAGGGCCCAGGCTTTGGCCCTCAGAAGAAACCTGTATCCACCTAGCAAAAGGAGGATAAGGACTAACTGGGAGAAAACCAGAGGGGATGGTGAACAGAAAAGTCAACAACAGGAAATGGCAGACTGTGGCCTAGTCATCCTCTGGCTGTCAGATCTCGGCTTATTGCATGAGACATAATCTGCCATCTTCAGGAGTGTGAACCTGGTCCTCTTCGAGTCTCTGGGTTCTTCCCTTCATGCCGAGTGGTGCTTTGGTGGGAAAATTGTGTTTTTCTTTGAATATAACCTTTTCTAGAGATAGAGGTGGGCGGCACTATGATCAGAGAACCTTTATCCTCTGCATTCCTCCCAATGCTCGGCTCTTCCCCGAGAAATGGCCCTCAACCCAATGCAGGGGCAATGGCTAGCCCCAGGAACAATCATCCCAAGATTCTCAAGGTAAGTGAGACAGACCACCTCCTCCCATAAAATGCAAAAAAGCTCACAACTTGTTCATTGGCTCACTTGATTTAATATCAAAAGATTGGAACAGTGTTACAATTCCCTTAAGTGTTCCTTTGAGATTTAAACAAAAGAAATAACAAATGTTTACTGATTTGGTTTGGATTGTTCAAGTTTAGACTTCAGTACTCTAGCACAGTCTTAAGGTATTTGGTAATTCTACAAGTTTAATTTTTAAATGTTAGAGTTAACTTTTATGTCATGTTTTTCAAAAACTATGTGAATTTACAATGTACTCCTCTCCCTATATTCCTTTAAATAATACCCAAAACACAACTCTCATATACCCCTCTATGTTTTACTGCCTTGGCTACAGGGATTTTATGTCTCTTATTTGGCATTGCTGTTTATTGTCACTTCCCCCATAATTCTGGTTTTTGCTGCCCTGTTTTTTTATCCTTTTGAAAGTCTTTCTTCACTATGCTAAGTCAAACTTTGAAACTCTTGGTAAATGCCATAAAATTTTTCTTAACATGGAACAAGATCGCCACCCAGTGGCCATGCTGAGCTTCACTCTATGCATTTTTCCAGATTTTTCCCCTCACACTTTTATTTATCTGGACTGCAGAACAGAGGTGTCCTTAAAGAATAGCCCAGCCCCTTCATTTTTCTGAGGAGAAAACTGAAGGTCAGAAAGGTTAACATTTGGTCAAGTCCACAATACCACAATAAGACCCATGCCTTAGGCCAGGCTTCAGTCCTCATGTTTTCAAGGACTACCTCAGAACTGGAGGTGACCTTCAGGATCAGCCAATCCAAGCCCTCTAACATACAGATGAGGACACTGAGGCACAGAGAAGAAAAATGGCTTCTCAAGATTTATGGAGCTGACTAAATGGGACAAAATTAACACTTAGCCTGATGTTCATTCTCCTACTTAGACCAATCTCATTTTAAATATTTTATTTTCCCCCTTGGATTATCATAATTCCAGCCTTTAATAGGTGACCATAGTAGATGAGCATAAAATGGTCAGCCCTTGCCTTCCTCAAAATGAATAAAGTTATGTAATGGGAACCGTCAGAAAGGTAAAATTCATTCTCATTAATGAACTGTTCATTGTTGGTATATCCAAAAATATTTCACCACTTTTGTTTATACTTAGGAGGTGATAGATTTAATTAAAGGCAATTAGAAATTCTAACTATGCCTTCTTTCAGTTTAAAGAGAATACTTGGCCAGGCTTGGTGGCTCACGCCTGTAATCCCAGTACTTTGGGAGGCCGAGGCAGGCGGATCACGAGGTCAGGAGATCGAGACCATCCTGGATAACATGGTGAAACCCCGTCTCTACTGAAAATACAAAAAATTAGCCGGGCATGGTGGCGGGCACCTGTAGTCCCAGCTACTCAGGAGGCTGAGGCAGGAGAATGGCGTGAACCCGGGAGGCGGAGCTTGCAGTGAGCCGAGGTCGCGCCACTGCACTCCAGCTTGGGCGACAGAGGGAGACTCCGTCTCAAAAAAAAAAAAAAAAAAGAATACTCATCTCTGGTTCAAAATGTCTTGATTCTAGAATTTCAGTACTTGGATTTGAACACTTCCTCTGGCAAGTTAGGGATGACTTCACATTGTCCACTAACTTCAAAATCCTCTTTATGGCATGAGAAAGATCCACAACATTGAAGAGTCCTTATCACTCTAAATAATTCTGAGTTCCTAAACTCAGGTGAATAAGATTCACAGAGGGTAGCGGATGCTGCCTGGCTTTGCCCCACCCCAGATCCGTATGGTCCTCCTGAGTTCATCTGCAGCTGTGATCCAGGCAAACTGACAGCTCCCCACCTCCCCTGCTGTCTTCCATGCCTGGGGGCTTTGGAGCCTCCCCAGCTTCTGGTGGGACAATGCTGAGTTGGGCTGCACACGGTTTTTCAAAAGATCCCCTGGGATTGAGCCCCAGTTGCCCTGGAGCCCTAACATGAAACTACTCCCTAACCCCTGGAATTGGCCTTTCTCCTTTTCCCATGGCATTTTCCCGACTTCCTCACTTGTGCTTCCTGGGATTACCTCTCCAGGAGGGGCAATTAAACAAACAACCTGCATCCACACCCTTGCCTCAGGGCCTGATTTTCAGGGAATACAAACAACTGACTCTGCATTGTAGAGAAGCCCTGTTTTGCCTTGATGACACATCTAGTCTCTAATAATGGTGTCCCAAGAGGTTGTTCAGTCTGGCCTTTCTCCCTGTATACAAGCAGATTAACTAGGAAGCATGAGAAGTTGAAATGTCAGGGCCTATCACTCGAACAAGCCATTTTCAAGCCTTGGGAAGGGCTCTAGAAATCTACTCACATGGTATATGTTTTTGTAAAATTTACAAAGGCAAGACATTTTAACCCTAGTCAGTCAAGACCACTGTCTCTTTTCAGGTTGTATTCTGGTGACGGAGAGTACTTTGGGAATCTAGCTAAAGGGGAAATTGAGTTAGAAATACACATTTTAACTGAAATTTGGCAAGATGTTTCAGAACATTTCAGTAAAATAAATGTAAAATTACAGACTCCTGTTGGGAGAATATGGAGTGTTCTTTCTGCTATCTTTAAATCAAGTATTTAAAGAACTGAGAGAAAATGTCAATAAAAAAGTAATAGAGTAAGACACAAAAGCAACAGAGTGAGCAATAAAATCAATAGAAATTATTTCAATATCAAGAAGTAAATTGCAACAAAAACATTCAGCATATCAAATGCAGTCAGAAGAATAGAGTAAAAATAATGATAGGCTTATGGATTATTTGATAACACAATTAATAAACACAAGTGAGTCATGTGAATACACTGGAAAAAATTAAATACCCCAATTTTTTGACACCAAATATTGATATCAATGAATAAAATATAAACTCAAAATACATCACCACAATGAGTACACCTATGACAAACTGGTTAATGACTGTCATTAATTCAAAGTACTCAACATAGGATAGTGCACTAGAAAGCTTGAAATGCCTTGAAAACAAACAGATCATATGTGCCAAAAACTTAATAGAGGTTTCCAAATTTGAGAACAGTCCTAACAATTTACATGACATTGTCAACTATGAGTTGTGAAAGCTATATGAAATGTTTCTAAATTATCAAAAATAAAAAACAAACTGTAATCCATCATGGTAGAAGAAAGACTAAATTATCTTTCTATTCTCTCTATGGAATGTTATTCCTAAAACATTATCATATGAAGATGAAACTAAAGAATTTGCTTTCAGAAATGGAAGGGAAAAATTATCAAAGAAGTCTGAAAGTAGGAAATTCGATTAAATATTAGGCTAAATAAAATAAAATGTATTCATTTACTTTTAAAATAAAAAATATTCTATTACTTTTCAGGATGTTGTTTTTTGTGCTGTTTGTCATTAAGTATCTGTCATTTCTTGTCAGTCCTTTTCTTAGTCCAAATAAATGGTTTTGATACTTAATTTTACATTTATAATGTGGTATTCTTTTCTTAAAGAAAGCCTCCTAAATTATATAAGCTTCCAGGACCATTTCTTCCCAAAGCTTCCTCTAACAGTGAAGGCCCTTTTTCCTGTAACAAAAAAAAAGAAGCAAAATGCTCTATGTTCCACTTAATACACAAGAAAAGGACATACACCACAAGACTCCCAAAAAGCCAATGCATATAAGAGAGTGGGAAAATAGTACACAACTTTTCTCACAGGACACGAATCATTACATTTTACAATAAATTAAGTTGAGAGTATATACATTTAAATTACATGCCTACCACATTTGTTAGTGACCTGCACTGCTAGTGGTTCCCAAACTTAAAAAGCAAACAAAAAAAGTCTGTCATCTGAGTTACAAAGATAGTCATGGCAAGCGAATGAAGGAAAACTGACAGAGATAATGGATCAGTATACCATGTTACACTCTTTAGGCTTAGGCACTAATAAGAAAGTAAGACAGTGTTTTACAAACAGCAGGTCATAACCCATTATTGGGCAGTAATAATTATTATAATAAGTTTTGTAACAATCACTTTTTAAAAGGCAAATAGTTTAGAAAATAGTTTGTAAAAGATTGCTTCACACATATAGAATGTTTTATCAAACTTTTAAATGTGTGGGTGGGTGGGTGTATACATAGGGTTACAATGTAAAAGGCATTTCTTACTGTGGGTCATGGTCTAAAAAGTTTGAATAATACATATGAGAAATAAAGGGTTGGGGCCGGGTATGGTGGCTCACGCCTGTAATCCCAGCACTTTGGGAGGCCGAGGTGGGTGGATCGCTTGAGGTCAGGAGTTTTCAAGACCAGCTTGGCCAACAGGGTGAAACCCTATCTCCACTAAAAACACAAAAATTAGCTAGGCGTGGTGGCACATGCCTGTAATCCCAACTACTGGGGAGGCTGAGCCAGGAGAATTGCTTGAACCTGGGAGGCAGAGATTGCAGTGAGCTGAGATCACACCATTGCACTCCAGACTGGGTGAAGAAGCGAGACTCTGTCTCAAAAACAAAAAACCAAAAAAACCGTTGGCTGTAGATCGAAGCACAAGAGAATAAGAATAACAGGGACAGTTACAAAAACTTGGTTTGGCAATCTGCAACAAATCATTCCTAAATTCATTGGAATTTGGTAGGCATTTTTCCTATAGAAATAGGAAGTCATTAAAATATGCTTTTGTAGTTTCACCTAGGAATCCATCATGACTTAAACACAGTTTAAACTAAAAATAAACTAAACTTTAAACTAAAAACAGTTTAAGCCATAATTGGATTCCTAGGTGAAACTACAAAAGCCTATTTAACTCGTAAATAATATATAAATTATAATATGATATGCTATGATAGGGTATGATGTTTATATTATATTATGACATGATATAATAAAACATAATGCAAGATAAATGAACTGTTGTAGTTATTATAGTCCTAAGCCAGCACTCTTCTTTCCTTCCCCATAGTCCCTACCATTTATAAGACTTTTAAGCAAACGGTTTTGAAGATAATCTAAAATTACAGGATTTCCATCACAACATAATGTATATAATTTCACAACACAATTTAACATTTTATTATGATAATTCAAGATTTTATATTTTGCACCTCCACTTGATTTGGTATAATTGTTACCTAAACCTTTCTGCTGAATTAGAAACCACTGACCCTTCCTCACTCCCATCCCCAAAAAGAACAAGAAAGGTGCCAAATAGGCCTAAAATGAATAGTTTCAAAGTGGACAACAGTTAAGATCAAATGATGCACTAGTGTTAAGGTATAACATTTGTAATTCTGTCCTGAAGATAACTCTCCAGTGTTAAAATTGTCAATGCCTCTAAATAATGAAGCAAAAGAATGAAGAGTTAATATGCAACAGCCAAGCTCAATAAAAATCTGCAGAAGGAAAAATCATCTTTTATGAAAGCTACAGAATAATAAATGAGCAGTAATCTTCCGAGCTTACTTTGTCATATGTTACAACAATAAGGGAACTATATCCTGACGGTTATTTCATTTCAATACCATTAGAACATTTATTTTAATACCATACAATTTGTATGTTGATTATATATAGCTAGATCTATGTCTACTAGATGAGCATGTTCACACAGGAAGAGGGAAGGAGAAGAGAATTAATGAATTTATGAAACAACTTCAGTGTGTTAGGCACTATATTTGGTCCATTACATGCATTGTCTTATGAAGTATAATGAGACATAATACATATTTTGTAATGCTATAAGGCATCTGTTACTATTCTCATGTTACAGTCAAAGCAGCTACATTGGTTTTCTGTCGCTGATGTAACAAATTACCATAGACTTAGTGGCTCAAAACAACACAAGTGTATTATCCTATAGTTCAGTCATTTAGAAGTCTGAAATGGCTCTCACTGAGCTCAAATCAAGATGTCAGCAGGGCTGCCTTCCTTTCTGGAGGCTCTAGGGGAGAATCAAATTCTTTGCCTTTTCCAGCTTCCAGAGGATGCTCAACCTTCTTGCCTCTTGAACCTCTTCCACCTTCTTCCTCCATCTGCAAAGCCAGCAACATCAGGCCAAGTCCTTCACACACTGTCATCTCTCTGGCTCTCTCTTCCAATTCTCTTTTCCACTTTTAAGGACTCGTGATTGCAATGGGCTCACCCGCATAATCCAGGATCATTTCCCTGTCTTAAAGTTAGCTGACTGGCAACCTACACTCCATCTGCAACCTAAATTCCCTTTTGCCATGTAACCTCACATATTCACATTTTCCAGAGATTAGAATGTGAACATCTTTGGGGGCCATTTTTCTGCTTACCACAAAAACTAAGTTCCAAAAAGATTAGGTAGCTTGCCCAAGGTCACATAAGTAAAAGGAGGATGGAGCCTGGATTTTTACCCAAGTTTTCTTAACTCCAGCACCCCTGCTCTATTCAATACAGTTTGCTGTACAGTTTGTGTCTAAAACTGGCAACAATCTCCATGGTTTAGGTCTGGTCAGGAAACATATCTTGGTGCCCCTTGTGTGCCAGGCACCCTGCTAGTGCTGCATACACAAAGATGAATAAAATACGCTGTTTTCTTTGAAGAGCTGAGAGTCTGACAAAGGAGGCCCTGAAATTATATTATATTACAATGCAGTATATGATGATGCAAGTTACTATATTGCAAAATGCAACATGGATTCTGCTGGGTTTATGAATGCAGCACAACAGGACCTCAGAGTGGAAGGGATCAGGACCAGAGTGGACAGCGTGACAAGAAGGTGGTCAATAAATATCAAAAAGTTTCTCACAAGGAGTCACACTTGTGTTGGGCCCAGAAAAATGAATAGGATTTTGCCCCACAAAGCGGATAAAGTTGCAGAGGCATTCTTTTGGAGTAGCAGGTCTCAGGATATACTAAGGAAATAAAGGAAGGTGTGACAGAAATGCAACTAGAAAGGAATTTAGACCCAGATCGTGTCAGACCTTGAGTGGCATAGTAAGAGATCTGAACATTCTCCCTGTAAGTGGAAAAAAAGGAACCAGGAAAAATTTTAAGCTAAAGAGGAGCATGAGGTGGAGAAAGAGATCTGACTTAGAAACATAAACTTCTTGGAAAGGCTACTGTGATGGCTTCATGTTAGGGGTTCTTGGGAAGAAATATAAGACAGTCTACAAAAAGATCTACCTAGGACTTTTAAAAGTTTGAAAACAGCTATAAATTTTGGAGTTGCATATTCTTATAGAAAATAAAATGTAGCCTAACTAATCAGAGGAAGTCATTTTCATTCATTTATTTAGCAAATATGTATTAAATATCCATTGTGTATCAGCATTTTTTCTAGGTGAACAATTGGTTCACTTTAGTGAACAAATAGATACTGCCCTGTTTTCATGGATCCTACATTTTAGTAGGGAAGACAGACATATATACAGAAAAACAAATAAGCAACAAAAATAATAACGAAAATAAAGGGTAGTTGTACCAAAGGGGGCAAACAAGACTGAGATGAAGAGTCACAGAACAGGTAGTGAGACCCTTGAGTAGAAACAGGACTGACTGATACTTAGTCTGAATGTACCAGAATGGCCATATTATACTTGTTACAATACTGAATTAGGACACAGCCACAACTGCCAAAAATAGATACTCCCAGGCTCCCCAAAATACCCACCACTGGTGCCTGAGCCACACTGGATTCTCCCTTAAGACTTCCTAGAAGTCCTCATAAACCACCAACCAAAGAGTTAATGCTTGGCCTGAGGATCTAGATCTAACTCCAGCTCTGTGACCTCTGGCATTTTTTCTGATTGTTAGACATTGACTGTCACCTTTTGGTAGGTCAGTTAGCAAAGACATTGATAGAGAAAAAGAGGAGCAGTTCTGTACTCTGAACCTGAACCTGTTCTACCAAGATGGAACCTTTGGAGGAAATGTGTTGATGTGACACTTAAGACTATGGTAAAAAAAAAATAATAATAAAAAAATTGAAGGAAGCAATAGAAGAGCAAACTCTTAAGGAGAGCTTGTCAAAGGTCAAATTAGGTTCTTCCCTTGTTAGAATTTGTCAAGAAAAGCTCTAGCTGAAGAGGTCACCTTGAAGTTGAGACAGAGAAAGAAAAGGCGATAGCCAGCTGAAGAGTGGGAGGTGATCATCCCAGGCAGAGAAAAACTGCATATGCAAGAAAAGAGAGGAAGCAAGCACTTGGCATGTTTGAGGAACTGAAAGAGGACCAGCATGGCCACAGCTTATCTCCAGGAAGGTGGATATATATGAGGTTGGACATAGGTTTTTTAGTCCATAGCGAGCGATTAGATTTTTATTTTAAATGCAATGGGAGGCCCCCGAAGGGCTGTATGCAGATAAGTGAAGTGATCCAATTTCCACTTTTAAAGATCATTTTGCTGCTGAATATAAATGTATTGTAGAACAAGACTGAAAGCTGTTGCAGGAATGAAAGTGAAAGATGCTGGCAGCAGAACTGGAGAGGTCAAGTGTGAGATCTGTTGTGGAGATAGGATTTTGGGAATCGATGACGGTATGGGATACAGGTGTTGAGGGGATGAAGAGATCATTGATGAATGTGGTGATATTAAATAATAGATTTTCAATGTAGACAAAACAGCCTTATATTGGAAGAACATGCCATTTAGGACTTTCATAGCTAGAGAAGACAATTTGATGCCTGACTTCAAAGCCACAAACAACAGGCTAACACTTATTAGGGGCTAATGAAGCTGTTGACTTTAAGTTGAAACCAATGCTTATTTATCTTATTAAAAATTCTAGGGCAAGTAAGAATTATGCTAAATCTACTCTACTTGTGCTCTAGAAATGAAACAACAAAACCTGGATGACTGTACATCTGTTTATAGCATGGTTACTGAATATTTTAAGTCATTGTTGAGACCTACTGCTCAGGAAAAAAAAAAAAAGATTCTTTAGATTCTTTAAAATACTACTGTTCACTGACAACTCACCTGGCCACCCAAGAGCTCTGATGGAGATACACAAGGAGATTAATATTGTTTTCATGCTTGCTAACATAACATCCATTCTGCAGCCCATGAATCAAAGAGTAATTTTTACTTTCAAGTCTTATTAGGTAAGAAACACATTTTGTAATGGTATAGCTGCCCTAGATTGTAATTCCTTTGATGGATCTGGGCAAAGTAAATTGAAAACCTTCTACAAAGGAGTCACCATTCTAGATGACATTAAGAACATTCATGATTCATGGAGGAGGCCAAAATATCAACATTAACAGAAGTTTGAAAGAAGTGGTTTCTAACCCTCATGGATGACTTTGAGGGGTTTAAGACTTCAGTAGAGGAAGTAATGGCAGATATTGTAGAAGTAGCAAGAGAAATGGAATTAGAAGTGAAGCCTAAAGATATGACTGAATTTCTGCAATCTCATGTTAAAACTTGAATAAATGAGGAGTTGCTTCTTAGGAATTAACAAAGAAAGTGGTTTCCTGAGATGGAATCTACTCCTGGTGAAGATACTGTGAACACTGTTGAAATGCCAACAAAAGAGTTAGAATATTACATAAACTTAGTCGATAAAGCAGTGGCAGAATTTGAAAGGACTCATTCCAATTTTGAAAGAAGTTCTACCATGGGTAAAATGCATTCTCTGCTACAGAGAAATCTTTCACAAAAAGAGTTAAAAGATGCAGCAAACTTCACGGTCTTATTTTAAGAAACACCACCCTGATCAGTTAGCAACCATCAAGTCAAGGCAAGACCCTCTACCAGCAAAAAGGTTAACATTCACTAAAGGCTCAGATGACCGTTAGCATTTTTTTAGCTATAAGGTATTTTAAATTAAGGTATGTACATATTTTTTGTAGCCATAATGCTATTGCACACTTAATAGACAACAATAGAATGTATGCATACCTTTCATATGCACTGGGAAACCAAAAACTTCATCTGTCTCACTTTATGGAGATATTCACTTTATTTTGGTGGTCTGATACTGAACCCATAGTATCTCAAAGGTTTGCCTATATAATAAAGGCTAATTCGTTTATAATGCTGTTAGCATATTTTCTTCATTCACAAAAAGGTTTGCTTACTGTATAGGAAAAAGCCCTACCCATAGCTCCCTGAGTCGAACGAGTTGCCCATCCTCAACATCTTATTAGGATACTTGGCAATAATTCACAGACCTTTGGGGACAATGAGCAGGCTTTCAAATACTGCTTGAAACAGGGATAAACGCTGTATTTTCAAAAATAGTGTAAGTGTTCCATGGTTCCCTCAGGCAATTAGCTCGTGTTGTTGCCATAAGTTGCCCTACTTCTATCCCCACAGAATAAGCATTTGGTCCGTCTGCTCAGAGTTATCACGTTTTTCCTTCTTCCCTCTAGGTAGGTCACTAGATTCCTTTGTGAATGAACAGTGTGCATCAAAGAGCCATTAAAACAAAAAAAACCCTAAATATGTGTGAAATGCAGCTCTTAGTATTTCTCTGGAGCATTGAATCATATTATATGTAATTATAAAATACTATCGGAAAAGGGCACTTTACATACCATAATAGTCATTTTATAAAGTTCAATTTGGCAATTCCAAGCCACATTTAATTTTCTCTGAAAATTCCCACATGGCAGGAAGATATTGCTCTCTGCAGCTTTCAAGTCTCTTTCAGGGAACGGTAAAATGACAACCTTTTAAAATTAGCACTTTTTCTATAAATAGAGACTAAATCACTTATACCAAATAAAGTCACATATGCATTTTTATTAAAGTAAATACTAAAATAATAAGTAATTTTCCTACATAATCATTTTGGGATTTTACGCAAATTAGAATACTACAATATAGTTTAGCATGAATCATTTGTAGTTCTTCATCTTCACTGACAGGTGGGGCTAGTGATTTCTGTATTAATTATAATATTTTAGCATATTAAAATCTGTATCTAGATGAAGCAGACACTTCAAAGCTTCAAAACTGATGAAACTGCATACCTCTCTTTTAAGGGATAAAACCATTTGCATTAATATGTGAAATACACTACTAAAACACCCCCTGCTGATTTCTTAGGCTTTTGCAGGGAGTTATGCATAATTTTCTGAAAATTAAAAACTGAGGATTAGATATTTATGATAAAAATTGGATCTCAAGAACTATTAAAAACTTGGAAGATTCTCCTAAGCTAGAATTTTTAACTCAGTTAAAAAATTATTTAACACGTATCAGAGGTTAATAAAAAGCACAGTGCAGTCAGAAGATCTAAACTCAGTTACACCACTTACTAGCAAAGCACTGTGCTATGGTCTGAATGTCCCCCAAAATTCATGTGCTGAAACTAAATCACCAATGTGATAGTATATTGACAGGGAGGCCCTAAGTGGGTGATTAATTGATTGAGGTAGAGCTCTCATAAATGGGATTAGCAACCTTATGAAGAGCTGGAGGGAATTAGCTAATCCCTTTTTGCCCTTCTGCCTTTGGACATGTGAGGACATGACATTCCTCTTTTCTGGGGGATGCAGCAACAAGATGCTATCTTGAGGTAAAGAGAGCAGCCTTCACAAGGCAACAAACTTGCCAGCTCCTTGATCTTGGACTTTCAGCCTCCAGTACTGTGAGAAGTACATTTCTGTTCTTTATAAATTACCCAGTCTCAGATATTTTGTTATAGCAGCAGGAATGAACTAAGACACATCTTTGTGAACCTACATCACAGAATTGAAATGAGAATTAAGTAACAAAGGAAGCTGCTTTATAAATAGGTTCAGTTATTGAAGATGGCATGGTATAAACCATCCATAAATTCATATTTAGATCTGGGGACAAATTATCAGGAATCTACAAATTCTCCACGCAAAGGTGTTTCACTCATTTAGATTTTAGTTTGTTTTTATGTTGATGTTAATCTTTTAAAAAGCTCATGTGATTATATTTGGGGTCATCTGAACATCCTCTTTATACCTGTTACACAACGTGTGTGTTCATGGTAGCATTAGTGCCAAATAATTCAAATTCACTTGTTTCCAAGCTACTGAAAACAGATGCAGGCAGACTTAATATGTAGCTTCCATATTCTTCCAAAAGAAAGACAAGCGACAATGGAAAAAAAATTGAACAAAGATTTGGTAATAGTTTGACTCCAGAAAACTAATGAGAACATTCAGTCATTACATGGCACACTGGATCACTGGTAGGCTGAAACTTAAAAAAAAAAAAAAAAGAAAACCTGCCAGTTAGCACTAAGTGTCGTGATTTAACAGTGTTCATCCTTGTCAATTAATAAGACCATTTGTATTGGTTTTGTATATATTTATTGCAATTGTTTTAAATAGTCATATGAAAACTGTAAGCTTATGTTTACACCTAGATTCGTATTTCTATATATTTAGATGTTACAAAATTAACACATATTAACTTAAAAATAATAAGCTGATACTTGAGTGTGGCCAGTGAGATCAGAACTCAGAAAAAACACAACTCAGGTTGTCTTCTCTCTGTACTTTGCTGTCTGACTCTGGGCATTGTCAAATGACCTCACCTCCCCTATTTCTTCACAGCAAACTAAGAATAATAATCTCATTCACATGGGACCATTGTGAGGAGTACGGGAAATAATGAATATAACTGTGAAATAATGCTTTGTCAGGTATACTGTGTTTTGGACGATAAGATATCTGAATCAAGAGTTTGTACTTCCAGTCTACATTTTGATGCCACGTTGGGCAAATCTCCTTACCTCTATGGTAGTCATCACTATTTTTTAAAGCTAGGAGATTATCTCAGTTCCTTTTAAAACAGCTTTTATAGAAGGTGGTTGAGTTTTCCACTGGAATTTCAAAGTACTCCTCATTTTTATATCCATACCCATAGTTGTTTCGTTTTCCATTAGCTTTTTTAAAAACTTACTAATTGAGGAACAGAAACTTTAAAATTCATTTGTGATCAACGCAGCAATGTCCAAACATAAGCAGGGTTAAAACAGCAAAATTCTCCCACCTATCAGAGAAACTTTAATTTTTTTTTTTTTTTGCTTCGTTGTTTTTATCTCGTATAACGGAAAGACAGAACTCATATTTCAGTCTTCTCTCTGTTCTTAGCTGTAATCCTAGCAAATCGAATGACCTCTTTACACTGGCCAATTATTCATCTGCCAAATAATAACAGCCACCACTGATCACGTGGGAGCTTACCCAATGCCATGCGTGCACTATGTTCTGAACGTGCACACCAGGCGATCTCTCTCATTTAGTGCTCACAATTTTGAGGTAGACATTAGCTCCATTTAACTGATGAAAAAACTGAGGCTGAACGAAGTTAAAAACCCATCATGCAGCATCTGCAGAGCGGCGGTTCTAAAAACGCCTCACAGTAAGAAAGAATTGCTAACAAACAGTAGCTTTGCCTCTAAGCACCCGCTTTTCCTCTAATATTCACAGACAGGTATTTAGAACGTTAAAGAGCCGGAAGCCCTTGGGAACTTCAGGGCGGGAGTAAACCGGCTGCACCTCTCAGAGCAACTCCTCCGAAAAACCCCACCCTGTCCAGGCCCCGCCTCGTCCCGCCCTCCTGGGCGCTCTCCCCATAGCCCGCCCAGGAGAAGCCTAGTCCACCCGGCTCTCCCCCGGCTCTCACAGGCGGAAGCCGCCGACCACCCAGCCTGCCCTTCTCGCGGCAGGACTTAGCGCATGCGCTCTCAGCACGCCGGGAATTTCCTGTCCGCGGTCATCGCTTCCGGTGGGATAGGTCTGACCAATGGGGCTGACTCCGAGGCGGGCCTTAGGTCTCGCAGGTTCCTCCCCTGCGCGTTTCTTTCGGAGCGGCGGTGAAGGTCCTGGGTGAGGTAGGGTTGGATGGTGCTTGCCGCGTATCATGGCTGCCTCCGGAAAACTCAGCACTTGCCGTCTCCCTCCGTTGCCCACGATTCGAGAAATCATTAAGTTGTTAAGACTGCAAGCAGCGAAGCAGCTATCACAGAATTTCCTCCTGGACTTGAGGCTGACAGGTGGATGGCTTAGCAGTGCTCCCCGGATGTCTCCCCAGTGTCCGTGGGGGCGTGGGCCGGGGGGTCTTGCACGTCCCCGCGGGCGGGTGTCCAGGCACTGGCGTGCGACGGGCTTTTGGTCAGGTCCTTCGACCTCTTTGTATCAGAACTCCGGTCCCACCGCCCAGGAGACACGTGAAGTGCGTTGATTGCTCACAAAACTCCGCGTTCGGGGGGGTGTAGCCTGCCGGCAGGCTGCATAAATGCCAAGCTCCCTAGGGGAGGAAGGGTTCATGGGTCGTGAAAGGCGCTAGTGAATATTGGAATCTGGGTCACTGTGAAATCAATCATTCTGAAATAGTACAGCACATGCTGACTGCAGTTGCTTTACATGCAGTTTAAAGTTACCAGAATTTAAATTGATGCGAGGATTTTATCAATAACTTGGTGAAAAGAGTATCCCTCGTATGATTCGTTTTTTAAACGTTTACCTGTTCAGTCTAAGCCTCGGGGGCGCTAATATTCATTCATAAGTAC
This sequence comes from Homo sapiens, assembly GCF_000001405.40. Taxonomy (NCBI): domain Eukaryota; kingdom Metazoa; phylum Chordata; class Mammalia; order Primates; family Hominidae; genus Homo; species Homo sapiens. Next base: position 155,313,779 of record NC_000006.12, on the reverse strand, counting down.
ATATTACACAAGCAACATTGTGCTAGTGCCGGGGGTAGGATATGGGCGTGAACAAGGCGGTGTTTCCTCGAGGAGCTTACTTTTAGCAAGTTTACATTCCCACACCTAATTGTTTAAAGTTACTTTTTATGAGATATAATTTATGTGCAATAAAATTAATAAGTTTGAAGTGCTCAATTTGATGAGTTTTGACGAATGTATTTATATATTGGTTTAACCACCATCACCATTGCTTAGTGATGTTCTATGAGATGAGGTTGCAAAAATATATTACAAATACGTCTACTAAGTCACGGCTGGAGTACTTAGGTTTTGAGATTTTCATATTTCATTCTATTTAGTCCCACTTCAGAAGTTGAAAAGAGCAGTAAATCACACCCAAAAAGTTCATTTTCACTTAAATGAAGCACACTCCAGAAAACATAAAATGTTTTATTTCTTGGACATGTAGTCTTTATTCTGCCTGTACCAATATGACTTTGGATAAAATAATTTAACTCAAGTTTTCTCTTTTTTTTTTTTTTCTTTTTTTAAGATGGAGTTTCACTCTTGTTGCCCAAGCTGGAGTGCAATGGCATGATCTCAGCTCACTGCAACCTCCGCCTCCCCGGTTCAAGTGATTCTCGTGCCTCAGCCTCCCAGGTAGCTAGGATTACAGGCGTGAGCCACCGTGCCTAGCTAATTTTGTGTTTTTAGTAAAGACAGGGTTTCACTATGTTGCTCAGGCTGGTCTCAAACTCCTGATCTCAAGTGATCCACTCGCCTCGGCCTTCCAAAGTGTTGGGATTACAGGTGTGAGCCACCATGTCCAGTAGTTTCCTCATCTTTTAATTGGAAGAAGGGCCTACTACTTTAAAAGATTGCCCACTCTAAAATTCTTTGGTTCTAGTAATAGCTAGTACCAGCCTTTTCTGCTTGTTATTAGCCACATTCTAAATATAAATCACCATTCTCAGGGCAGAAGTTATAGGTCTGTGTATTTTTTAAAATCCTTCAAATACATTTTCTCATGAGCCTTTATCTTCAGGAGTAAGTTTCAAATTCTAGATATTATCCACTCTTTCTATGGGAACCAGAGTTAACGGAGATGAGGGTACTTAGCTGAGGTTAGAAGCTCAGGCAGAAGAGAGCAAGATTGAAATCCAAGCTCATTGATTTGATAGCGCTTCTTTAATATTCATTTGTATTTCAATGTGCCTGAAAAGTTTGAGAGCAGAGACCTGCCTACTGTTGTAGCTCTCCATTTTAAAGAAGGAGAGTATTAAATTTATTCCATAATGTATCATTCCTGTTCCCTCTGAGAGGCATTGGCTTTAGGATTTATACCTATGTTGAAGTCCATGACCTTGTACAAATAAAACAATAGACAAGGAAACTGAAAAGTTAAGAGAAATGAAATTGGGATAGGAGTCCTTGGTTAACATGTAAGGATTAGGTGAGAATGTGTGTAAATCCATCATAATAGATAAGATGGTCAGTGGATGCTAATTCCCTCCCTGTTAAAAGACTAAACCATTTTTGGATGGCTGAGAAACTAGTTTCCGCATTTTAGCTGACAAAGTTATGTTGTTGAAAACAAGCAAAAATAGGACTGTGAACACCTACAAGAAGTGCTGGTATGTTTTTAGTGACTAAATTTCCACTATCCTAGGAAGACCAGTTCCTTGGATTTCCATATCTCAGAATCACTAAGACCAGCCCATTGCATGTTTTTCCAGATGTGATGACTGGTTGCACAGAGTCAGTACTCTACCTTTTTATGATGTCTTAAGGGCTGCTAACTTGAATTTGATTAATTAAAAAATTAATTTTTCTGTATTAACATGCATGTGTGCAAAGCTTTAAAAACCCTCAACTGCTCAATTTAACTTTTTCCTGAAAATGACTAAGAATTCAAATTTCTGAAAATCTTACGATCTAAGAACTTATTGCCATTGCCATAGTGACCACCACCAAGATGTCTCTAGATAAAAATAAGACTTCAGCACTTTTTGCTTTTGGATTTCACTAGCAATACTGAAGATTCTGAATGTGAAACTAGTATTGCTTATTCAGATATTCAATGTTCAATAACTATAGAAAAGTGCTGCATTCTTATCCAGTCTGTTCTTAGGAGTCGGTTGGTTTCAAATCAGTTTGAAAGGAATTTGCATGGGACAGATGGAAACTACAATATTAGCTAAATTTAAGCTAAGAAACTTTGTCATGATAATCCTGTGTGTGTTAAGGGACTGGTACAGTTCAATGGTGATGTGGTAGCATATTCGATTGCCACTTCATGTTAATTTAGGTAGAGAGTTAAATAGTCAAATAAATATTATACATAAAGGATCAATTGATTGGGTAATGGCTGAATTTTTATAGAAGATTTTTCTCTCTAAATTTCATACGTTGAAATTTGCCAAGTTAATTGAGATAACTAAAACTCTTTTTCCTCTAGATAAGATTGTAAGGAAAGCTGGCAATCTGACAAATGCTTATGTTTACGAAGTGGGCCCTGGGCCAGGGGGAATCACAAGATCTATTCTTAATGCCGACGTCGCTGAACTTCTGGTGGTTGAAAAGGACACTCGATTTATTCCTGGATTACAGGTGAGATGCTTAAAGTGTCTGCTTTAGGAGGCAAAAGCTGAATTTAAATCTTTATGCCATGATGCTTAAACCCCAAGGTATCCAAAGATTATGTAGGTTTTTCCTCAACTATAGATCCCCAAGGCCCCATTCCAGAGATTTTGATTCCATAGTCTGGAGAAATCTGGAAATCTCCATTTTTAACAAGCACTCTCAGAGGGTCTATTGACTACACCTTGAAAAAAACCTGCTTTAAGCATTTATGCTAAACAAATTAATTGTTTTGTGTGATTTTTTTTTTTAAGTCTGCTAATAGCTATGCATGTCGTGGCCCATTCCTTCAAAAATAAATAAAAATAAATAATGGCCAGTAATGACTCATTGGTATGACTTTTGAGAACTTCATTTAGGTTCAAAAAGCATTTCCACAAACAAAAGATGAGTAAGACATATGCACGTTTGTCATCATGAGAGACTAATTATGAAGCTTAAGCATTCTTTTATAAGGTAAATTTTTTAAGTGAAGGAAGGAAGTTGTACTTTTATAGATTTAGGATGAGGTTTAAATGAAATGATACATGCATCTTTAAAATACAGGCACTGTTATTGTATAAGAAATGAGAGTTGAAGGAACTGGGCATGTTTCAACTGGAGAAAAGAGGCCCTGGGTAAGAGTGTATATAGCAGCACATCCAAGGTTGGGGGTACATAGGATAAGCTTGTTTTGATCTTTTCTAAGAAAGAGCTAAAACAAATAGATGGAAATTGAGGGAGGCAGGATTGAGGATTTGAAATAAGGAGGAACTTACTTTTTTTAAAACGCTGGCAAACAGTGAAATAGATTGTATCAGGGATCTTGTAAAGGGATTTCCTCATAGGGGAACACTTAATGTCTTAAAGGCCTTTGATTCCTCCATAATTCTAAAATTTTAAAAGAGTCCTGAACCTTTGGCTCAGATGAGAAGCAATTTATCATGTGACTATAATAGAATAATGTAGTTATCTACGTTATTACTTCCATACAAAAGGACAAATTGATTTTAAACGAGTATATTCTCATACTAACTTGTATATATATTAATGGAAAAATGTTAATTTCTGTCAGAACGGTTTGAGAAGTTGTTTTTGAAAACCTAGAACTTTGTGTGCATGTATCTGATTTTTTTAAGAAACCTAGCAGTTTTTCCCTAATCTTGCTTTATCTAGTTTTTATGCTTTAAAAAATTACATAATATTTCCTTTTATCTAGTTTTACCAGTCTATACTAACAGAATTGGTTTCAGATACTAAACTTTATGTTGAGATAGTCACATGGCACATATTCCTTGATCAAATGTGGAATTTAATAGTGATTTTTGTTTTGAACTGTGTTCTTATTTTAAGAATTATATATAAGTTGGAGGTGGACGTGGGAATATTATTATTTTTGGTGAGATCATGAGATTATAAAAAGAAACTAAATAACTGTATAATCCCCTTCGGGCTTATTCGTGTAGCCCTTTTTGGACATAGGGAATACTCACCTGACTTTTTTGCTCTTAAAAAGACTTCTTGTCCCTCATATCTCACCATTCGTTGGGTTTATTCTTTCTTATTAGGCCAGGGGGTGAACCAGATTTCCATTCATTCCCACATATTCCCCTCTTTGATATGAACAAAAGATCTTTGAAGGCAGATTGTTGAAAAGAGCGACTGCCACCCTTCTCTTCTCAGTTTCCCCCAAACCCATAAGTCACTGCGTTCCTAATTCCAGCCTTGTTTTATCTCATTCGATTTATCATCATCTGACATACTGTATATATGTTCTTCCCATTTGTTTGTTAATTGACTCACCTGTCTGGAATGTAAGTACCATGAGGGTAGAAATGTGTGTCTGTTTTGTTCCCTGCTGTACCTCTATCTCACGTAACAGTGCCTAGCACATAGCAGGTGTTCAGTAAATGTCTCACATGAGAAACAAAAAAGTTGACCACTATTTCTGCATCTGTGTATATATATACACAAATGTATATGTATCTCTCATATTAATTAAATGTATCATTAAATAGTGAAAGTAAATATTTGTGTAGCATTGATAATGAAAAAGTTTTATGCTCTTTTTTCTAAATGTGAAGGCTGATTTCAAGTTAAATTACTCTAGAGGAAATGTATATTTGACTTCTCATTTGTTTTTAGTAGAAACAAAATTAATTCTTAGTATCTTATATGCAGGAAAGGAATTTGCCTTAAAAAGAAATGTTGGGTACTAAAATATCAAATAGGCCTTTTTTTCCCCAGTGAGGAATGTTTCAATATGTAAAACTACTTTGTTTTAGAGGTACTAAATTAATCATAAAACTGAGTAAAAGCAGAAAGAAGGTGATCTATTTTAAGGATACCATTTTAGTGATTTCTAAGCTAATAGAATTACTTTTTAAAGAAATTGTAATAATTTATAAAATACCTTCTAGCTGAAAGCCTGTCATTTGTAGCTTAATTCAATTCCTACAGTATTTTCATGAGGCAGTTTAGGGGAAAGAAAAACTGGTGCTAACATACAGGATTCATGCTCAGCATGTTATAAAGGTAAGAAAAACATGTCTAGTATGTTTAGTATAGTATAGTTTTGTGGTAAAGACGCAGACTTCAGCATCAGACTGCCTGGGTTTAACTTCAGATTCTACTACTAGTTGGGTGACTTTGGGTAGGTAATTTTGTCCTCTGTGCCTCAGTTTGCTCTTAGGACTCATATGAGGATTCAGTGTATGCCTGATACTTAGAAAGCACTGAATAATATCTTAGTTATAAGTAATCAGTTAAATTATTATCCCCATGCCTTGATTACCTCTGGTGATTAATGACTGATCAGGAGACTGCTGATCTGGAAAGAGGTATAGGAGGAAGTCGTGTTATTCCATTGGAGCACTAGAAAATTCTCCAGTGCTATGGAAACATTGGGGTGTTTTCCAACTCATCAAACTTGCATTGGACACCTAGGGTTTCTTTTCTTGATGTTGTCACATTCTGATTGTGCATTTCTAGGTTTTTAAGTTTTTCGTTGTTTCTTGTTACATTTTTATGACTGACTGGATTCTCTGTGCTGTGGAGAGGAGTGAGGAGATTTCCTGAATCTCAAGGAGCTTGAGGCCTTGATAGGTTTTTCCTCTTTCTGAACTGGAAATAACTTAGATTTCCTGACATCTCAGGGAATTTGAAGCTTTGATAGGTTCTTCTCCATTTGTGAACTGGAGATAAATTCGTAAATCACTCGTACCCTTTCAGAGAAGTAGTACAGATTTCCTCTCATTTTTTTTTTTTTTCTGTTTATTTTAGAGCAAACCTGTGCAACACACGGCCCACGGGCTGCCTGCGGCCCAACACAAATTCTTAAACTTTCTTAAAACATTATGAAATTTGTTTTGCATTTTTTTTAAGCTCATCTGCTATCGTTAGTGTATTTTATGTGTGGCCCAGGACAGTTCTTCTTCCAGTGTGGCCGAGGGAAGCCAAAAGATTGCAATTGCACAGCACTGTTTTAAAGGCTTCATATATTAAAAATAATAATAGCTAATATTTATGGAGAGTTTATCACAGTAAATACTTTGTGATATGGTTTGGCTCTGTGTCCTCACCCAAATCTCCTCTTGTAGCTCCCGTAATTCCCATGTGTTGTGGGAGGGACTCAGTGGGAGATGATTGAATCATGGGGGTGGGTCTTTCCTGTGCTGTTCTCATGATAGTGGATGGGTCTCACAAGATCTGATGGTTTTAAAAATGGGAGTTTACCTGCACAAGCTCTCTCTTTGCCTGTTGCCATCCACGTAGGATGTGACTTGCTCCTACTTGCCTTCCGTCATGATTGTGAGGCCTCCCCCAGCCATGTGGAACTGTGAGTCTAAACCTCTTTTGTAAATTGCCCAGTCTCGGGAATGTCTTTATGAGCAGCAGCATGAAAACGAGCTAATACACTTTGTTTTACAGCTTTGTTGAGATACAGTTGATGCTCAGTAAACTGCACATACTTAAAGTGTACAAATTACTGAGGATTTGTCTGTGTGTATATGTGTGTGTGTGTGTGTGTGTGTGTGTGTGTATGTGTTTGAGACATGGTCTCACTCTGTCACCCAGGCTGGAGTGCAGTGACACAAGCACAACTCAACAGCTCACTGCAGCCTTGACCTCCTGGGCTCAAGCAATCCTCCCACTTCAGCCTCTTGAGTAGGTGGAACTACAGGTGCACACCACCATGCCTGGCTGAGTTTTGTATTTTTTTGTAGAAATGGGATTTCACCATTTCTACATGGTGGTCTCAAACTCCCGGGCTTAAGCAATCTGCCCACCTCAGTCTCCCAAGATGCTGGGATTACAGGCAAGAGCCACCGCGTCCAGTTAACTGAGTTTTGACATATATGTGATTGCATGAAACCATTATCACAATCAAGAAAATAAACACTCATCGTCCTCAGGATTCCTCATGTTTCTTTGTAATCTGTCCCTTCCTTCCCCCTTTATCTATCTCAGACAACCACTAATCTGCTGTCACTGTAGATTATTTTTTATTTTTCAGAATTTTATATAAATGGAATCATACAATATGTACTTTTTTTTTGGTCTGGTATCTTTTACTTAGCATAATTATTTTGCAGTTCATCCATGTTGAGGTGTTTATCAGTAGTTTGCTCCTTTTTATTGCTGAATAGCATTCCATTTTCTGAATATACCAAATTTGTGAATCTATTCACCTGTTGATAGACTTTGGGTTTTTCCCTTTTTTGGCTCTTATACTGTAATAAAGCTTTTATGAACATTCATATGCAAGTGTTTGTGTGGATACACACTTCCATTTCTCTTGAGTAAAGACCTAGGAGTAGAATATCCGGGTCCTGTGTAGAATATCCGGGTCCTGTGGTAGACGTATATTATACTTTTTACAGAAATACCAAATTGTTTTATAAGATGACTGTGCCATATTACATTCCCACCAGCTGTATTTCAGAGCTCCCATTGCTCCACATGCTTGCTCAGACTTGGTATGGTCAGTCTTTTTAATTTTAGCCATCCTAGTGAATATGTAATGGTATCCTCTTGTGGTTTTTATTTGCATTTCCCTAATAGATAATAATACTGGACATACGATGTGCTTATTTGCCATCTTTGTATCTTCTTTGGGGAATTATTTGTTCAAATATTTTTAGTACTTTTACTTTTTTTGTCTTATTGAATTTTAAGAGATATTTATATGGTTCAGATGTGAGGCTTTGTCAGATACAGATTTTACAAATGTTTTCTCAGCTGTGGCTTACCTTTTTATTTTCTTAACAATGTCTTTGAAGAACAGAAGTTTCATGTTTATGAAGTGCAATTTATCAGTTTTTTCTTCTAGACTTTATGCTTTTTATGTCTTATTTTTAAAATATTTGCCAAACCAAGATCACTAAAAATTTGTTTTATTTATATATAATTTAATATATATTTATATATATAAATATATAATTTAATATATATATAAATATATAATTTAATATATATTTATATATAAATATATAATTTAATATATATTTATATATATAAATATATAATTTAATATATATTTATATATATAAATATATAATTTAATATATATATATTTATATATAAATATATAATTTAATATATATATAAATATATAATTTAATATATATTTATATATATAAATATATAATTTAATATATATATAAATATATAATTTAATATATATTTATATATATAATTTAATATATATTTATATATATAAATATATAATTTAATATATATTTATATATATAAATATATAATTTAATAATATATTTATATATATAAATATACAATTTAATATATATTTATATATATAAATATACAATTTAATATATATTTATATATATAAATATATAATTTAATATATGTTTATATATATAAATATATAATTTAATATATATATATAAATATATAATTTAATATATATATAAATATATAATTTAATATATATATATAAATATATAATTTAATATATATATAAATATATAATTTAATATATATATAAATATATAATTTAATATATATTTATATATATAAATATATAATTATGTATATATATAAATATATAATATATAAATAATATAAAATTATTTTATAATTTTAGCTTTTACATTTAGGTCTTTGATACATTTTGAGCTAATTCTTGCATATAGTGTGAGGTAAGGTTTAGGTTCTTTTTTTAACACCATTTTTTGAAAATACTGTCTTTTCCTCATTGAATTGCCTTAGTACTATTGTCAAAAATCAGTTGGTTTTATGTGTGTCGGTTTATTTCTGAACTTCCAATTCTGTTCTATTTATCTATAGGTCTATTGTTTCACCAACAGCCACCTGTATTTATTACTATAGACTGAAGACTGAAAAAGCCTTCATTTTTGCCTTCATTTTTGGAAAATATTGTGGCAGTATTTTGTTTTATTACTCTAAAAAAGTTGCTCCGCCATTTTCTCACTTGCATTGTTTCTGACAAACTTTTTGCATTGCAAAAAGTTTCTGACAAATCTTTTTTCATCCTTACCTTTGTTCTTTTTTCTCTGGCTGCTTTTGATACTTTCTACTGTTTTTGAGCAATTTCATCATGATGTGCTTACAGTAGCTTTGTTCGTGTTTCTTGTGTGTAGAATTCATTGAGCTTCTTGGATCTGTAGGTTTTCCTGTGCTTTTTGTTGTCTAATGTCTGAAAATTTTGTTTCATCTATTTTCTCTGTTTTTTAAATTGGTTTAAGGTAGGAGAATATGCCTGGTCCCTTAGACTCCATCTTTGTCGGAGTAGGAAGTTTCAGGATTCTTCTTAACCATTAAATTATGTGGTTGTTTTGAGGAATTTTTGGAGAGAGAAAGTAAGTCATTGTATTGTTAGTATTGCCTTTGGTTTTTTGTTTGTTTGTTTTTTGAGACAAGAGTTTCGCTCCTGGTGCCCAGGCTGGAGTGCAGTGGCGTGATCTCGGCTCACTGCAAGCTCCACCTCCCAGGCTCAAGCGATTCTCCTGCCTCAGCCTGACGAGTAGCTGGAATTACAGGCGCCCGCTACCATGCCCAGCTAATTTTTTGTATTTTTAATAGAGACTGGGTTTCATCATGTTGTCCAGGCTGGTCTCGAACTCCTGAACTCAGGTGATTCACCTGCCTTGGCCTCCTAACCTTTGGGTTTTCTTATAGGTAAACACTGGTTATTTCCATACTTCATTGGCATAGTGGAAAGTTCATGGGATTGAGCATCAAATAGTCTAGTGACCAAATCTCAGATATGCCACCTACTAGCTTTGTGACCTTAAGCTTGCTGTTAAACCTTTTTTAGCTTCAACTTTCTCATCTGCAGCATGGGAATAATAGTTCTCTTCTGTGGATATTGCAAAGATGGATAGAAATGGATGTAAAGAGCCTGGCATAATCCCAGTAGCCAGTAATAGTTGCTATTTTAATTATTCCCCTTCCAGTCATCTTATTAAGAGACATATGAGGTAATTTCAGCGTCCAGGCAGAAAGAGCTATTTTTAGTTAGAGATAATGAAGTTTTGAAATTCTTTAATCTCTAACAATTTTTTTAAAAAGGAAGATTGCCTTCCTTGCTATTGTGACGTAACTATTTACTTTACACATGTAACTTACTTGATGTTACCATAGTTAATCATAACATAGACAAAACTCAACAAGTAAGCAAAAAGTGGCTTACAGCCAAAGTGACTTTTTAGTCCATACAAAGTATAAGTACGGAGATCAGTGGTAGAAGCAGGCCCACTGACAACTGTAAGAAGTAACAGTTGTTACAGTAACAGAAAGCTATAAAAGACAAATATAAACGCAGAAGAAACAATAATAATAATAGGGTAGCAAAAACACCTTCGTAACTATTGAGGCCATTATTCTAAAGACAACAGTAACCCTAGGTCATCAAGAAAAGGGTGAAATTTGGTTTAGTGTTCTTGGCCTAAGGAAGAGGATTGTGCCATATAGCATCCCTATACATTGGCCTAAGGAAGAAGGTTGTGTCGTTGGCATACCTGTACGTTGTGTACAATGTATAATGATAAAATTAGGATAATTAGCATATCCACCTCGAACATTTATCATTTATTTGTGGTAAGAACACACAATTATTATGTGTCAATTAAAAATAAAACAAACAAATAGAATAAAATCTGATATGGTTTGGCTATGTCCCTACTCAAATCTCATCAGTGAGCTCTCACGAGATCTGATGGTTTTATAAGGGGCATTTCTCCCTTTTGCTTGGCACTTTTCCTTGCTGCCACCATATGAAGAAGGACGTGTTTACTTCCCCTTCCACCATGACTGTAAGTTTCCTGAGGCCTCCCCAGCCATGCTGAACTGTGAGTCAATTAAACATCTCTCCTTTATAAATTACCCAGTCTCAGGTATGTCTTTATTAGCAGCATGAGAACGGACTAATACAAATCTAATGTCAAATTTAAAAAAGAGAGTGAAAGATTTGATAATGACATTGAAATATCCAACAAACTTAAAATTCCTATAAAAATAATTTTAGATATTTGTAGTATCATTTAAGATACGAGTGGTTATGTGATTTCTGTTTGTTTTTGCTCTGTTCATAAATTTAAAATACTGAGAAAGTCTGAAAACGTACATTTTTAATACAATTCAAGTTATTTTACATACTAAAAAAAAATAAAGCAAGCTAATTGACATTTTGACATCATGCTGTAACCTTCCCTCTAAAAGTCTGAAAAGTCTGCTGTAACATCTTAATTTTTTAATGAATAAATAGCAGTAGTCTTTTATATGTGTTATATATAAGAATACAAATTTTATCTTTCACCTACTATATTTTATACTATAGATTCTTTCCTTCTCATACAGTTTGCTTAACAGTTTTGCCCAGCCCTGTTACAAATATTTATTTCAACAGCATTTGGGCCCTACTATGTGGCAAATCAGGAAGAAGATAATTAACGTAACTACAGTGTTGGCTGCCATGAACCCCTTACATGAGAAGGTGACATAAAATATGCAAAATGGGTATTCAATGTAGTATTTCTTCTTAAGGAATCGATAATTTTGTGTAAGTTCTAAGAATTGCCTAAATTCTTTCCTCATCCAGTAAAATCAACAAAAAGCTGCCTAGCCAAACCACAATTACTTGCCCCCTGCAGAGGAGCTTTCACTAAGACTTTGGTTAGAGAAGAGATTTTTTTTTAAATGGCCACAGAAAGAATGCTTCTACATTTGTGTTTTAACTTGTATTAAAGGCATTGTTTATTACATTGTTTCATGTACCCTTTACAAAGCATAATACCAGGGAAAAAAAAATTATCTCTTGGAGTCTTGGTACAACTACTATTGAAAAGCAAAAATTATATATTTCATTATGTAAATCACGAGAGCTAGCTGTCATGATTGTTAGGATTGTTAGCTCTTGTGTTTTACATATATGCTTCCCCTCTTCATGGTTTGATTTTCGGTTTCTTCTTTTATAGCCTTATGTAATGATGCCTTTTACTCTAAACTGGCATACATCTCATTTTGGAAGAATATAGAATTGAACACTAAAATAAAAATGAAAGAAGAGTTTGAGAGTGTCTGTAAAAATACTCATTTGGCTGTAATCTGGTGCCTGCATTTGTGATTGGCTGTGCCTTTAAGCACATTCTGTGAAAACACCTCCAGGGTTTTGAAGTGTAATGCTCCATTGTTATTCTCGAATGCATATAATAGTGATTTTCCCACCCCCTCCACCATACCCCATGTATCATTATGGTAGTGAAAACATTTCTGCTACTGGTTGGCTAGAAGGTCTTCATGTGTTATTGCCTAATATCATTTGAAGTGTTTAAAAGGGTACTGTCTATAATCATAATATCAATTTAGTCTGTCTAGCACTGTTTCCCCATAATTGCTTTAAGGACTTCACATAAATCTGTTAACATGAGCGTTCATTCCTTCTGCAGTGGGGAGTTGCAAAGTAGATCAAGCTACAAATTGTCAAGAAGGAGGTGTACCTTTTAAAGTGTGGGGAGGATTTGGTTTGTCATTGACTGAGATTGAAAAGTGAATGGGAATCCAAAAGAAATGTAGTTTTAAACCTAGGAAAGGAGCTGGGTATGGTGGCTCACACCTGTAATCCCAGCACTTTGGGAGGCCAAGGCGGGCAGATCACTTGAGGTCAGGTGTTAGAGACCAGCCTGGGCAACATGGTGAAACCTCGTCTCTACTAAAAATACAAAAATTAGCCAGGTGTGGTAGTGCACACCTGTAATCCCAGCTCTTAGGGAAGCTGAGGCAAGAGAATTGCCTGAATCCCAGGAGCAGAGGTTGCAGTGAGCCAAGATTGCACCACTGCACTCCAGCCTGGGCAACAGAGCGAGACTCCATCTCAAAAAACAAACAAAAAACAAAAACAAAAAAGAAAACCCAGGAAAGGAAGGTAAATTTATTTATATTATATTAGCTTTTAGATATACAGTTGTACCTGTCAGGGTGGGAAAAGTTAACACTTCAAATTAAGTTAACGTCAAACAGCCAAATTTACATTGTTCTGTTGTGTTTTAGTCCTAACTACTAATTATTAAATACTTTCTATATATTGACATCATGAGACTTAAGCTATTAGTTCTGCCTCTTTGTTTTTGGCGTGCTAATTTGTTTTAACTTTGTGAACATAATTATAGAAAAAATTTTAGCGTTTTCCATTGATGATAAGTACTGTGATTAAATATGTGGTTTTATACATTAAGAGCATGCCGCATAGAGAGCTGTCTCTTTTTAAATTTTTAGTATATTGAAATCGTTATATTTTCCAAGATTTATTGCCTGGAACTCACCAGATCAAGTTTTACTAACTAGTGGTAATTTAAAATAATCTATAAGTACATTAGTATCAGAGGCATGCAATTATTTTTGCTAAACTACCATGGCTAAACATATCAAACTAGATGATTTCCAGACTTAAAAGTATGTTTAGCCTCTTACCAATAGAGGCGTTTCAGCTATTTATTTCTGGAAGATTATTTGTATAAATCTGCCTGATTGACTTGTGAAGTAAATCTTTGCAAGTTTCTAGACCCTACAAATTTGGGAAGCCAACATCTCCCAGGCTAAAAGAGAAAGTTTCCAGCTTTACAGAGACCTGAATGCCATTTGGTCATTCACTTATTCATGCACTTCTTAAATATGTATTAAACACTCACCATGCATTGCTGTAGCTACAGGGGCTATAAAGGTAGATAGGAAATGGGTCCTGCCCTTAAGGAGCATATGTCCTTGCAGGGGAAATTGAGATACAGTTTGTAAGTGCTGTAAAGAGGCAGACGCACAGTACAGTGTTGACACAAAGGTGGACTAATCCACAAGCCATGTTTCTTGGTCCAGTGTCTCCTCTCTGGCTTCTGTGATCATCTTGTTTATCCTCCCTCTTGGTTGTATGAGTTGGGCAAGGAGAGGTGTTAGGAGAAAAAAAATCAGCTTTAATGGACCTAGAGAATTAGGACCAAGGTAGGCTCAGGGCAAATGTTCCCTTTGAGCCTGTTCACCATCCCTATAAAGTGCTGGGCACATTCTAGAATCTTGGCAACTGAGTTGAAGCCAAGGTTCTCCGAGCTCTGACTTAATGTGGGAAGAGAGTCACTTCTTCCCTTGAAATCTACCTTAGCAGTGATGTTTCTTCTCGTTGATACATTCACTCCTGCCTTTTAAGTAAATTTATAAGCTCAGAGACTTTTTTAATATTTAACTAAGGACTTCAAGAATCAGTTTTGTGTTGGGCATGGGGCACTTAACACAATATGAATTTATAGATAACTTAGCTATAAAGTTTTTTGAATTAAGTGCCAACTCTTCAGTACTGTGAGAGTGTGGTGGTAGAGTAGGTGGAATGAAGAAGAAAAAGACTACAAGGGAAAAAGTGCTTTTTTTCCCCTTTTTGCTCACAAAGAGAAGGAAAAGGAAAGAAAGCAAATGATTAGTACGTGGAAATAGGTTGGGAAGTAGCTATTGTTAAACATCCAGGGTAATTCATTAGGTCGATAAGGGGTATGGATCAACAAATATTAAGATTAGGGATGCTCTGGTCAGAGGAGTATCTCGGAGTGCCAAGTGGAGACTGGCATCGACAGGTGACTTTCTACTTGGCTAAATCTACGCATATATTAAGTTAAAGATCTTGATGATATATAGAATCCTTTGTATATATATTTAGGCTATAAAGATTTAGTTAAATTAAGCTTATCTTTCATATGGTTGACTCCTGATTAATTCTCTGTATTTCATGATAATGTCCTTAGTCTCTAATTTAAAAACTTATTGATAGGAGTGAGTTTATTGCTAAATCTATATAGAAATAGAAGTCATCCTGAAGGTCAAAATTACACTAATATATTTGTAAAATTGTAAGCTAGTGTTGTACTGTCTGTTACTATCCCTAATCATTCATAGGTGTTAAAATGAAACGCCACCATTGTCTGTTGCAATAGACGTGATGCAGTATTTGTTCATTAATGATCACCCCTGGTCTCTGACTTTTTTAACTGATTTTTTAAATGCACAGGTTTAAAAAGTTTAGTTTTGTTACTCGCATAAGTATATGAGCTCATTTTACTGATCTTTTTATAAACTAGATGCTTTCTGATGCAGCACCTGGGAAACTGAGAATTGTTCATGGAGATGTCTTGACATTTAAGGTAGAAAAGGCTTTTTCAGAAAGTCTTAAAAGACCCTGGGAAGATGGTGAGTGCTTTTGGGTAGTTATAAAACATTTCTTTTATGATTATTTATATCACAAATGTTCATTTTATGATACATTTATTACAAATGTCTTATATGTTTATATTTTAAATTATCTGAACAGAATTAAATAATGTGTATTATAATTTTCTCTTGCTACTTGCTTCCAAATTATAAAATCTAGTTACTTTTTTTAGTTCTAATTCATTTGTCTCATTTCCAAATGTTTTGTATTCTGTGCAAATAAACTAACCATTTTTTGTGATACCATATAAGGATAGGGTAAACTATCAATTGTTATTTGTTCCAAATAGTGGAAAAAAAGAAGTGCTTTAGTAAACTAAGCCATGCCCAAGCCATTGTTTTAACTTTTTCTATTATTCTTCACATTCAATGACCAACCAAGGCAGTCTTCATTCACAGACAGTGTTTATTGGGTACCTGCTGTGTGCAGCCCTTCAGAATGCATAGATAAATAGGGTATGTTTCTTCCTATAACAGACTCTCAGAACAAACGGAGGAGGGCTTAGGTGCCTCCACATCTGGCTGCCCCCATGTCTCTGGCCTCCCCCATGACCAGACTCCTTCAGTTGGGCCGCACTTGCAGTCTCTGCCAGCTGACAGGCCCTCCTGTTCTTAGCATGCAGTCTTCAGGTTTCTGCCCCAGCCCAGCCACACTGGAACCACAATGCCTTCCTCATTACCTGTTTCAAACCTTATCTGACTGAGTTCTCCCAAATTCATTTAACTGTAATCCATAGTCTTCCGGAGGATTTCTCTTGCTCTTTTTCTCCCTGATACCAGCCCCTCCTGTTTTTCCTTTTACATTTGTGAACTTTTTCTAACTATTCTTAGCTGGTGGTTGTTTTTCTACCCACTTTGTACAGATTGTTGTTTCTGGGGTTTTTCTTTTTGGGCAAATTTGCCAGATTACTCCATTCCTATGGTTTCACTTACCACCTACGTATTGCAGACATTCACATCTTTATATGCTGCCTGTACCCCCTTCCTGGGCATCTGACCTCTGACAGCTTCATCTAGGTGTTCCATAGGCACTTTAACCTCATCATGTCCAAAATGAATTCTCTTTTTCCTCAAGCCAACTCTTTTTCCTGTATTTCCTAGGCCAGAAATTCAAGGACTTTTCTCTGAGTAACTGAGCAGTAATTAAGTATAATTTTTTCCTCAATAATCCAAAGCAGATTGTGAGAAAACATTGCTTTTGAATAATAAGTGAAAAAAAAAATTTAGCCATGTCTATTTATATATTTTTCTTTGATGCTATTAATATCCAGTCTGATTTTACTCGTCACTGAAATTGTATTCAGAATATATTGATGGAATCATTTCAGGTTGTTTTTTCCTCTGCCACCAGATCCTCCAAATGTACATATTATTGGAAATCTGCCTTTTAGTGTTTCAACTCCACTGATTATCAAGTGGCTTGAAAATATTTCCTGTAGAGATGGACCTTTTGTTTATGGCAGAACTCAGATGACTTTGACTTTTCAAAAGGAAGTGGCAGAGGTAAGTTTTAACATTTTGTGACTATTTTATCACATGTTCAAATTCCAAAGCAAAATAATAATACTGCATTTTTACCACAGTCTGTGTTTTCTAAGTTAATATCTTATTACACACACAAGAACCCAGCAGCAGCTCAGCCAAAAGTTAAAACTTTGATGATGATGACAGATGTAACTGCTGTGGGCTTCTGGGAAAACATGAATGATGTATGTTAGCCAAGGAGGTAGTGTGGTAAACACAGGGATGCAACAGCCATCGATGCCACTGGAGAAAGACAAAAGTGATGCCCTGTTGGCCATACCCAGGATTGGCACGTGATACCTTAAAATTGATCCTTTAGGCTTAATGGCATGGCAGTTAAAGAATATGATAATTGGCCGGGCATGGTGACTCATGCCTGTAATTCCAGCACTTTGGGAGGCCGAGGCAGGCGGATCACGAGGTCAGGAGTTTGAAACCAGCCTGGCCAACATGGTGAAACCCCGTCTCTACTAAAAATACAAAAAAAAAAAAAAAAAAAAAAAAATTAGCTGGGTGTGGTGGGGGGTGCCTGTAATCCCAGCTACTCAGGAGGCTGAGCCAGGAGAATTGCTTGAACCTGGGAGGCGGAGGTTGCAGTGAGCAAAGATCGTGCCACTGCACTCCAGCTTGGGTAACAGAGCAAGACTCTGTCTCGGCGGGGCATGCGGGAAGAATGTGATAATCAATTTGGAGCTGAGAAAGAGAAGGGGATTGAGGGTCTCATTATTCAGTATATAAATTGTACTTCCTCCCTCACCTCAGTGAAGTCTGCTATGCCTGCATTCCCATGGCAGAAGTGTTCTGGGTTCACTCTAGAAAGTAAACCCTCCAGGGTAAGCAGGGGTGGTGCTTGAGCTGCAAAGGTATAAGGACGGATGTGCAGACTCTTAAGTGGTTTTTTAAAAAAATTTTATTATGACATATAAGTACAAGAGTATACAGCCATCCCTTGGTATCCATAGGGGATTGATTCCAGAACCCCCACAAATACCAAAATCTACAAGTGCTCAAGTCCCTGATGTCAAACAGTGTAGTATTTGCATATAACCTGTGCATATCATCCCATATACTTTAAATCATCTCTACATTATTTGTAATACCTAAGACAGTATAAATGTTTTATAAATAGTTGTTACACTGTATTATTTGAGGAATAATGATAAGGGAAAAATCTGTACATGTTCAGTACAGATGCAACCATCCTTTTTTATTCCCTGAATATTTTTGATCTGGGATTGGTTGGATCCATGGATATGGAACCCACAGATACTGACGGATGACTGTATAATGTACATGGATGACTTAATAAAGGGCACTCCTGAATCCCCATGTACATGGATGACTTAATAAAGGGAACTCCTGAATCCCCACCCCCAACATGGGTAATTAAATCACTAGTACCTTTGAGACCCCATTGTATTCCTTACTCTGATTGCATCTCCTTTCCATCCCATGCTAGTAAGGTGATCACTACTGTGAATTTTGGATTTATTCCCTTGCATAGTCTTATCACACAGATTTATATTCCTATGATGAATACACTTTAGTTTTGTCCTTTTTTTTTTTTGGACAGAGTCTCACTCTGTCACCCAGGCTGGAGTGCAGTGGCACGATCTTGGCTCACTGCAAGCTCCGTCTCCCGGGTTCACGCCATTCTCCTGCCTCAGCCTCCCGAGTAGCTGGGACTACAGGCGCCCGCCACCACGCCCGGCTAATTTTTTGTATTTTTAGTAGAGACGGGGTTTCACCATGTTAGCCAGGATGGTCTCCATCTCCTGACCTCGTGATCCACCCGCCTCAGCCTCCCAAAGTGCTGGGATTACAGGCGTGAGCCACTGCGCCCAGCCCAGTTTTGTCCACTTTTGACAACTGGGTTTATATAATGTGTATTCATATAGTATGTATTGTTTTTATCCTGAACATTCTTTGTAGGATTCACTGACGTTGCTTATGACTGTAGTTTATTTAGGTAGCTATATATACTACCCACTATTTGACTGTGTAAGATCCTTATCTATTCATTCTCATGTTGGTGGACCATGAATTAGTTTCATCGTTCTGTTTTTACAAACAAAACTGTTGTAAACATCCCATACTGTGTCAGTTGGGGCACATGGGCAACATTTCTCTAGGGTATTTACCTGGGAGTGGAACTGCAAATCTTCACCACTGCATAGATAATGCTAAGTTGATCTCTGAAATCATCACGCCTGTTTATATTCCCACCAGCAGTGTGTATGAGTTCATTTTGCTCCATATTCTTGCCAGTACTCACTATTGCCAGACTTGTACATTTTTATTAATCTCAGGGTAATGGAATGTCATTGTGTTTTCTTTTGTCCTTGCTGGTTTGTAGCAAAATGGGGCACTATTGTGTGTTTACTGGCCTTTTTGAGTTCCTTGTTTTTAGTGCATGCTTTTTGCTCACCTTTCTTTTGGGTTGCTTATCTTTTTCCTACTGATCTGGAGGAGTTCTCACATACTCTTTAATACTCTTCATACTAGTCCTTAGTTAAATGTGTTGAGCATTTCTTCTACTCTATTGCATGTTGTTATTTTCTTTTTATGGTGTCTTTTGAAGAGCAAGCATTCTTAATTTTAAATTTATGTCTAGTGCTTTTTGTGTTTTGTTGAGGAAACACTTTTATCTTGAGTTCATGAAGATATTCTTCTGTTATCTTCTAGAAGCTTTATGTTTACCTTTCACATTTATATCTATAGTCCACTCGGGTTTGATCTCTGTGTATAGTGAAGTAGAAGCAATTTTACTATTTTTAACATATGGGTCCCAACTAACCTAGCTCCATTTACTCACAAGTCAGCCCTCGTTGATCCCTGTCAGCACCTCTGTCAGCATTGGTCTGGTTAGATACATCATATAAGCATTGGTCTGATTAGAAACATCAAGAAAAAAATGACATGAAATCCAGGAAGCAGAGGGCTCCCTACAGGACAGAGAGAAAGGAGTCCTCAGGAAGAACAACCAGTCCAGATTGGAGCCAATTAAAAGGGGAATTTGATAAAACTACTGTCAAGTTTGCATAGAGTCAAAAAAAAGTTGCAAAAACTCAGGAGAGTTTAAGATTGAATTCATGATAAATAAATAGAAAACTAAATATAACAGGGAGTGAATCAAGGGAAATATACCATTATTGGAATGAGAAGTACAAAAATATTATTTGGAGATAAATAATTATTTTGAAAACCTAAGAAAAAATGAGAGACATATATAAAAATAACTACAAAACCTAACTGAGAATCTCAAGGTCACTGAGATAAATCCAGAAAAATATCATAGCCCCAGAAGGAAAAATGATTATTTTAAAGAAGCTGATTTTTCCAAGAATTCTGTATATCTAATTATAATCCTCAAAGAACTTATCTTGAAATACGCAGTTCTAAGGATCATCTGGAGGAATAGACCTGCAACAATACATAAGAAATGTTGAAAAGGGAGAGTGATGAGAAAAGACTTCCTTGTCATATGCTAAAATGTATGGTGAAGCTTTAATAATTAAAGCAGTATGAGAAGCAGCACGTGACAGAGCAATTACTAGACTAGAAAGCCCGATGCAGACACCTTAGCAGTATCTGATAATGGTCAGATCAAAAATCAGCAGTGAAGGAAAGAATTAAGTAAATGCATGGATATTTGGTTAACTATTATGAAAAAAAATTATCTCTAAATTCCATTTGGGTCTTTGGATCTTCTCTTTCTGTCCTCATTACATTCATGCCTTCCTTGGCATTTTTCTATGTATGTATGTATGTATGATATTTAAAGTAGATGTTTTGGCCAGGCGTGCTGGCTCACACCTGTAATCTCAACACTTTGGGAGGCTAAGGTGGGAGGATTGCTTGAGCCCAGAGTTCGAGACCAGCCTGGGTAACATAGCTCCCTATGTTACCTTGTCTCTACAAAAAATAAATAAAAAATTAGCCAGGTCCGGTGCTGCATGCCTGTGGTCTCGACTACTCAGGAGGCTGAGGTGGGAGGATCACCTGAGCCCAGGAGATCAAATTACAGTGAGCCGTGATCATGTCACTGCACTCCAGCCTGGGCGGCAGAGCAAGACCCTGTCTCAAAAAATTGAACAAATAAGTAGCTGTTTTAAGATCCTTGCCTGCTAATTTCATTACCTCTATCATTTCTGTACTCTTTTAGTGATTGATTTCCCCTTCTTGCTATAGGTTGCATTTTTCTGTTTCTTTGAAAGCCTGATAATTTCTGACAAAACATCAGGTATTGTGAGAGTTTTATTTTTTTTAATGCTGATGAGGGCTGGATTTTGTGGTATTGGGTTGAGTGTTGGGTTTGTTGTGACACATAGATAAGATTGCTTGAGGCTTTTATTGTTCTGGTGGATCCAGGGTAGCTTTTAATTTGGGGCTCGTTGAGCCCCAGTACTACATCATGCCCTTTCTGAGGAAGGCACCCAACGCCCTGCATGTTACAAGGCCTCTTGAGCCATGTGAGCCCCAGTTGCTCCTGCCTTCCCCTGGTTCTAGTTCAGGCTCCCAAGCCTCAGGCACCTGCAGATCAGTGCTCAGCAGGGGACTTGGGGGACCCTTGGGACCCTTTTGCTACCTCAGGAGCTCTGCCTCACATTCTCTCTCCCTCTCCTGTTCCTGTCTCCCCCACCCGCTGCTCCTGCACACGTGTGAGCACCGCGTGTGTGCGTTTTCCATGTCTCTGGTAGTCTGCCCCACAAATTCTGCCTGCCGAGGCCTCCCAGATCTCCAGGTCTGGCTCCCTGAGCCCAGGAGACCTCTAGGCTCAGTTTGAGCTGCCCCCTGCCTCTGCTGCAGCCTGAGAAGGGCCTCCAGTCCTCTTCAGGCCGGGCATCTAAGGCTCATCTCCTTTCCATTTCAGTAATGACAGTCCTGCTCCACCTGTTGTCCTGTTTATGCAAACTCTTGTTTCCTATGACTTATTCAGCTTTATACTTGTTTCAGAACAAAACTTTTTAATGCCAGAATTTGTTTGAAATCAATAGACTCTACTACTACATAAGCTTAATTCTTTAAATGCCTTCCTCTCAGATAATTTGAGTGTATCATAAGAATTTCATTTCTTAGATCTATCCCTCTCTTTTTACCCTTGTTTCTGTTTAGGGGAATCATTTCCAACAAGGGCACTTTTGCCTTATCTGCTCCTCAGGGGCATTTGGCAATGTCTGACATGTTTTTGGTTGTCACACCAGGGAGGGGGCTCTGGTCTCTAGTGGATAGAAGGTTAGGGATGCTGGGAAGCATTCTTCAGTGCACAGCAGAGCCTCCCACAGCGAAGAACCACCCAACATTAATCAGCCCAAGATGTCAGTCATGCCAAGGTTGGAAAACTTTCCTTTAGATGATTTGGCCATAAAATCTTTCTCTCAGGAGTCTTGGAACTTCCCATCATAAAAACGTAGGACCGTTGCATGTTTGTTAGGAACCCTGAGATGATATCACCACTTTTCTTAAGGTCTTTGTCATTTCCTCTTCATGAACCTGCTAATTCTCTTGGGTTGGTTTGAATTGGGCCCATGCTGAGTTTTCTTTGTTGTTTTTCTCAACCTTTGGATATGTTGGTTCTGACAGAAACCATTCTTGTTTCCTCTGCACTTATACAACTTCTGACACCAGATGTGTGGGTTTTTTCCACACCAAGCAATCTCCAATTCTCCGAACACCAGCTGGGTATCCTGCAGTTTCATTCAATTCTGACACTGTCCACATGTTTTTAGTGTTAGATCCCACAAGTTAAGGGCCAAGTCCCACAAGACTGCGCCTCACTTCAGATGACAGTCACAAATCTGGGCCTCTAGGAGTTCTGAGCGACCAGCTATAAAATAAATCAGAGGGTTCCATGTCCCCCTCCTCAGATTGAATCATTTTTCAGAATGGCTCAAAAACTCAGGGAAACACCTTACCTACACTTGAGTAATGGGTAATCAATTGGTCTCAGTGACCAGCCCCATCTTGAGCTACCTAGAGGCCTCATCCTAAGTTATCTCATTACTGTAAACTCTGGGGGACTTGTGAATTTAAAGCAAGACATGCCGATTACTCAGGAAATTTCAAGGGCTTTAGGAGCCAGCGACAAAGTCCAAATATATTTCTTATTAAACCACATCTGTGGATTTATTTTTCTCAGCCGACATGATTATTTTGGTATTTCTGCTCTTGAATAACACAATAGAGATACAAAATACTATGTACTCTATTTGTGTGGGGGGAAACACAAAGAAACAGAGGCTTAAGAAGAGGTGGAGTAATATTTTCGGTGACTCAGCATGTCAGTTGTGGTTATTAATAATAGTGTTGCTTCGACTTCACCATATGCAATTCTTTTTCTTTAACAAAAAAAGTTGATTTTAGTTCAATTTTAGCATGAATATTGAGAAGAGTTTATATAGAGTCTATAATTTATGGAATGCCTTAGAAGTCTAGGTAACACTGGTCCTCTGATTTTCACATTTTGCAAGTGAAAGTTTCAGTGGGAGAATATATATATACTATATTAGTCCATTCTTTTCTTTTTTTTTTTTTTTTTTTTTTGAGGCCGAGTCTCGCCGCTCTGTCACCCAGGCTGGAGTGCAGTGGTGCCATCTCGGCTCGCTGCAAGCCCCGCCTCCCGGGTTCATGCCATTCAACTGCCTCAGCCTCCCAAGTAGCTGGGACTACAGGCGCCCACCACCACGCCTGGCTAATTTTTTGCATTTTTAGTAGAGACGGGGTTTCACCATGTTAGCCAGGATGGTCTCGATCTCCTGACCTCGTGATCCACACGCCTCAGCCTCCTAAAGTGCTGGGATTACAGGCGTGAGCCACCACGCCCAGCCCCTATGTTAGTCCATTCTATGCACTGCTATAAAGAGATACCTGAGACTGGGTAATTTATTTTAAAAAAAAGGTTTAATTGGCTCACATTTCTGCAACTCTACAGGAAGCATGGCTGGGGAAGCCTCAGGAAACTTATAATCATGGCAGAAGGCAAAGGGGAAGCAGGCATGGTTTATGTGGCTGGAGCAGTAGGAAGAGAGTGGGGAGGTGCTACACACTTTACAACAAGCAGTTCTCATGAGAACTCACTCACTGTCGTGCAAGAGGGAAATCTGCCCCCTTGATCCAATCACCTTTCACCAGGCCCCTCCTCCAACATTGGGGATTACAATTTGGCGAGATTTGGGCAGGGACAGTAATTCGCACCATTTCATATAGCAGCATTTTCTTATATGCCATTTACTCTTGACATGGCTGTATATGTAATTTTGTATTTTAGCCACAGGAAGCTCTTTTTAACATTTACTTTGATTGGCTTTGTTAATTACAAAACAGAAATAAATGAGCACCGTCGTCTTATTCCTGTCTCTAGCACTACAGGATCTAAGTGTAAGAATTCAGCTCATATGCATTAAGGGACATATAGACAATATGAAGTTACAGTTCATAAAATATAATCAGACTGTTAAGCAGTAAGTGAGAACTAATCCCATCTAACCTCATTTTATTAATATAAATGATGAACTGAGGCTCAAAAGGTTTAATGCCTTCCAGAAGGTCATGGAGTAGTTACAGGGAAGGCTGAACTTGAGTACAGGTAGTGTGTTTTCTGCTAAAGTCATGATGTGCAAGTTCTCGATGCTGCTGGCCCTGTGTTCTTTTCTTTCTGGGTCCAGCATCAGCCTCTTTTTCTCCCACCATCTCCAGAGGACCCTGGCTGTTGATGAGCACATCCCAAGCAGGGAGGGAGTCACCCTCTCCATTAATTACCTTACATAGTTCTCATTGTCCCTGATATATGGCTGTGTAGCTTCTCAAGTGTAAGCCTAATTTTTCTCCTTGTACTTAAAATTATTTTAGATTAATAAGAAAAAAAAAACCACTGTCCTTGTAAATTCTTTGACCCCTTGTTTTTCTCATACTCCATCAAAATGCTTTTTAAAAGCTCAAGGGTTAGAGGTTTCCTTTTAAAGAAAAATTAACTAGTTTGGTTTCCTGACCTTTTGTTGCTAAAATCATCTATCTTGTAATGGATGTTGAATTTTTATAGCTTTCCCAATAGTACATCTATCACAGAAACAGTAATGTATATTTGAGGTTGATAGAACATTTCAGTTTTATGCTAGCTTTGAATGAAATCTTTTGTAGAGCTTTCTGGTCTGTGATTTGAATTTTTCCTTAATGAGTTAGGGACAGCTATGTGTGCTGCTTTTTTCTAAATTGAAATATATGATTCGCATGTTTTCATCTCTACAGCCTGGGGATATATGCTACAAAGATTGAATTGAATGGGTCAGGTTAATGGATTGGGACACATATTCCCCTGACGTTTCTGGATGTGTTCTAAGTGAAATATACTTAAATACTTAAATAAGATCTTTTTTGAATTGTGCCAGTTGGATATTAAAATTTGCAATGCATTTTGAATTTTTGAATTTTCTGCCAGTAGTAAGATTAAGCTCCTTTTTTACTTTATGAAGAACTAGAAATATTTTTGACCACTTGATCCATAAGCTTATTCTTTAACTTAAATCTCTACTTCTGTCATTTTTTGTAGCTGTATGAGAGTATATGTGTCTTGGTTTTACATTTTAGTAAGAAAGATTATATTTTGTCTTACATGCTATAGTAACTCATCACTTATCTTGAGTACGGCATCCCAATAATTTCAACTCTCCAAACAGACAAGAGCCAGACAGTTTAAAATAAAAAGGTCATGGGGAAGAGGTATGAGATGAAAGGTTGGCTTTGAGTACAATCTATAACTTTGCCCATAGGAAGTTTCTTCCATATCTCACACAGAACCTATTTTTTAATCTTCCTTAAGGCAAAGCTCTAATAAGGTAAATTATATGGTTTTCATCCACGGCAGGCTACAAGCAGCAAAGGAAAAGAAGTGATTAGACTATGTGTGTGCATTGCAGTGAAGCGGGAAAGAGCAAACCCAGCAGCTGCAAACCAGCTCAGAAAGCACTGTGTCTTTTACTGTTGAGCAGTGGGGCCCCCTGCCTGCCTACCTAGCCCCAGGATTATTCCAGTAATCATTGGTGTTTGTAATGTTGCCCCTGAATCATTCAGAAGAGGGTTAGAATGTCCTTTGAGCTCTTAAGAACACAGAGAGGCAAGATACATTTTAGAAAGATAAGCATCCCTAAATTTTTTTACCCACCACTCAGCTCTGTTCAATTTTAATATATTGCCATATTTTTATATCTTTTTTAAAGAAATAAAATATTGTTGATATGTTTGGAGCCCTCTTCTATCCCCTTTCTTTCCCTTCTATGAGTTGTACTATCTTAAACTTTCGTCATCATTATTTCCATACATATTTTATCCTTACATTGCAGATAAATACACCACACACACATACACACACACACACACACACACACTCAGAGTAAATGATAGGAGTAGTCTTTTCAAGATTTTATACAAATAGCATTATACTGTACAAATTTTCTGTGACTTGATTATTTTTTATTCCATTTTGGGATTCAATCTCGTATTCCATTATCAGAATTATCACAGTTTATTTTTTCGTTCACATGTTGATTTTTATTATTTTTTTCATTTCTTGACATTACACATAATACCATAATGAACATTTTTATACCTATCGCCCGTGTAAGTATGTATGTACGCTGTGCTCTAGGATATGTTCTTAGAGACCTAGAGGGTCATGAGGTTTTACACAGCTTCAGCTCTACTGTATATTGCCAAATTATGCTACAAATGCTTGTACAGATTTCCTCTCTCACTAGCAGTATCTGAAAGTTCCTATAGCTGCAGATATCCTCCAATATCAGGTTCTGTTAGGTTTTTTTTTTAATTGTTCATTTCATGTGTATGAAATTATATGTAATGTTCTAATTTGCATATTCCTACTTTGTACTGTGGTGGAGCATAGTTTATATTATGGTTTATTTGGATTTCTCTTATGTGAGTTGCCTTATATATTCTATTAGCTATTTATCTTATGATTATTGATGTACAGGAATTTCATCTGTATTCTGAACACTATAAATTTCAAATACTTTCTCTTAGTCTGTGACTTACAAACATTTATAATGTTTTATTATACAGAAATTAAAAATTTTAATAAAGTACAGTAGTTTTTGTTGTTATTGTTGTTGAGGAGGGCGTCTTGCTCTGTTGCCCAGGCTGATCTTGAACTCCTGGCCTCTGGCAGTCCACCTGTTTTGGCTTCCCAAAGCACTGGAATTACAGGCATGAGCCACTGTTCCCAGCCAAGATCAAAAAAATATATATATATGTATATATACATATATATATACACACACACACATATATGCACACATATATACACATATATATACACACATATATACACACATATACATATACACATGTATATATATACATATATATACACACATATATACACATGTATATATATACATATATATACACACATATATATACACACATATATATACACACACATATATATATATTTTGTCCCCAAAGCAAAGCTATATAAGAAAAGACATACATAGATACATATATTTTAGAAAGATGTATATACATACATATATACATATATGTGTGTGTGTCTGTCTGTCTGTCTTTTCTTATATAGCTCTGCTTTTACATCTTTAGGAAATTCTTCCCTACCATGGAAGTCATAGATATTTGCTTATAAAAATTTTAAAATTTTGCTTTTCACTTATTGTTAATTTGCTTAGAGTTTTTTTGGTTATGGCATGAGATAAGGACCTACTGTTTTCTCCTATGGATATCTAATTACACCGGTGTCACTTACCGAATGATCCTTCCTTTTCTGTTAGCAGTTGCTACATCGCATCTATCGTGTGTTAAATATCTAATGTGCTTGGGTCTGTTTCTGAGGCATTTGTTTTATTGATCTGTCTGGGCCTGCATCAATTTGATGTCTGGTAGGGTGAGCTCCCCTATCATTGTTGGTATTCTTCAGGAGCGTCCTGGCCATTCTTGGCCTTATATAAATTTTACATGGAATTTAAATATATATATAATACATATGGAAATTAATTTTTAAAATCTTGTTGGACTTTTAATTGAAATTGCATTGCATTTATGAATTAATTGAAATATACCTAATTAATTGCAAAACAAAAATGTTTGAGTGTTTAAAAGAATAAATTACTAGGTTTTACAAAAATTATTTGTCAAGAACAGCCAATTTCCCAAGGGTTCTGAATACTCAAGGTTTTACTATATTAAGTGAATTTGAAAAGCACACCATTTAAAATGTTCATTCATATATTGGGGTGATTCAGAAAATTAAGTGTTTAAGCATCTTTCATTTTTCATTATGCTTGCTAATTTCTTCATCAAGTATTTATTGATTGCTTGTTTTATGTAGGACCTTCTGCTATAGAATATAACAGTGGTTCAAAAATCCCAACAGCCATTGGTAGAGCAAATGTTCTTATTTTTGTAGTGCATTATATATGACATAATTCACATTTCTTAGGTGTACCTCAGTTGATGTTGGAGGAAAATATTCCCCATGTTTGCTGTGTGTCATGTGTCAGATAGCCCATTCTTTTCAAATTTGCCTCAAAAAGTCCACCTAGTGTTCAGAAATAATGGAATGTTGACTCTTTTTCATCTAATCAGGCTGGACTAATTATTTGCTAAAATTCATTTTTGTCTCTCTCTAGAGACTTGCAGCCAATACAGGAAGCAAACAGCGTAGTCGCCTCTCTGTTATGGCTCAGTACCTCTGCAATGTTCGACACATCTTTACGATTCCAGGACAAGCTTTTGTCCCCAAACCAGAGGTAAGTTTCTGCTTATTTGTTGTAGTATATCGGAATTAGGACGTTTGTTCCCCTGAGGATGTGTCATAGGAAATAACCTCTAGGATCTAACCTTTGTTTATGTGCAAACTGACACTGTACTTTACTTCTGAATAAGAACCACAAAAATCGTAATATGAATAGCTAGTTCTTACTATAATTGTTCTCCTTAGGTAGGGTGACTAAATGTTTAGGTTCATGCATGTTATCCTGGTGGCAGTATCATTCATCATCTTCATCTTCATGATGTTACTCTTAAAGTATCCCTGTATGGAAGATAAGTTACACGGTCACCCAATATTTGAGAAAAGAAATAAAATACTTTTGTGTTTTCTGTTAGAGACCTCTAACTAAAGCTACATCAAACATTATTTACTTAACACTTTTTTGGGAGACCTTATTATGGTAGTGTTATTTGTGGTAAATCATCTGTGGAAGAAACAGTTGGATATTAAACTAGGCTTTGATATTATATGCTAGTTATGTGAGTAAGTGCTAGTTACAGAAACAGAGTTTCTCTGCCAAAAATTAAAATTAAAAAAACCGTTGTCTGTTTTAGCAAAACCACTGCTTGGTGAGTTATTACAAGATGTGTACTATTAAAAACTCATCTTTTTCTTCAGTGAATGTATATTGAGCATTTACTGTTTGAAAATGCGTTGGGTAGCAAGGGGAGTCTACAGGGATATGAGCCTAATCCGATACAGAGTCTGCCTTCAGGGAGTTCACAGCCTCATGAGGAATAGAAATTTCTCACTGGTCCCTAAAACTCTCAAATATAAGGTCTTGCAGAGTGTCCCTTGCATCATGTATCCTTCATAAATAACAAGAGATAGCATGGAAAAAAATGCATTATGTGACTATAGATTTAGATATAGATTCTAGATTTAGAATGGAGACCCTAACCAATAGTGTTAGATCTACTTGTCTGTCTTGAAGACGCCTAAGTGATCTCCATGCTCTTTGCTGCCACCTTCATACTTCTTTGCCATTTGGCCAGTTAGCTGAGCGTTCAGGTGACTAGGAAGTCAGGCCATCTTCCCCTTACGTAACAGACATAATTGTCAGCTTTTTCTAAATCGAGCTCAGGGAGCTTGCTATCGGTGCCACCTCCCTTCAGCATCTCAGACTTCAGAGACATTGCGAATGACTTCTCCTAGAATAATTAGATCCAAGACAGAATTTGATGACTGGAGGTATCTTATAGGTTATCTTCAAATTTAAAACATTTGTGCTTTCAGGGACTTTCTCTCCTAGTACAGGTGGCCATTATAATGAAAAAAATAAAAATAAAAAACCAGTGACCATGTAGCTTGATTTCTTCTTGTCATGCACATGTGTGTGCATATAACATTTTAAATAGTGTAAGACTCATTATATCAAAAACCAAGATCCTTACTCATAGGCCTCTATAGTTATGGTTATGACCATTATCCAGAATCTCCAGGCTATTTAAGTTTTACTAACGGGTTCTTAGGATAGATATTCGAATATTTTTAGTGGAAGCTTTCTAACTCTGTTTTAGTTACCTAGTTGAGATTATTTGATGGAGTTTCGAAGTTATTATCCACTTTATCTTTGATTTAGTGGTAAGGTACATATGTAGTTTATCAATTAAAATTTACCTTCTCTGGGATTAAGGCCACAAGAAAATATTTATTATTTGGAAAAAAGCTAGCTATGTCTTTGATTCCTTTTTTTATTGAGGGATGTTTACGTTTTGGCAAATTAAACATTTTCATAGCAATTTACTTCACTTTTTTTATTATATTGTAACTATTACATACAGGGGATTTATTTGTAATCCAGAAAAGCACTTATCAAGGACTTGTAGGTGTGCACCACCACACCGGCTATTTTTTGTAGTTTTTCATAGAGACAGGATTTTGCCATATTGGCCAGGCTGGTCTTGAACTCATGGCCTCCAGTGACCTACCCGCTTTGGCCTCCCAAAGTGCCGGGATTACAGGCTAAATTTTAGTTCTAAAAGAATTCTCTGCTGCTTTGAAGTAGTTTTACCATATTAGGGCAAAGCAGAAATGTTCTGAAGAAAGCCAGAAAATATTTTGCTGACAGTTACATTGAGCAAATGTTTTAAAAATTCATTTTCTTGGGCCGGGCACAGTGACTCATGCCTGTAATCCCAGCACTTTGGGAGGCCGAGGTGGGCGGATCACGAGGTCAGGAGATCGAGACCATCCTGGCTAACATGGTGAAACCCCGTCTCTACTAAAAATACAAAAAATTAGCCGGGCATGGTGGTGGGCGCCTCAAGTCCCAGCTACTCAGGAGGCTGAGGCAGGAGAATGGCATGAACCCGGGAGGCGGAGCTTGCAGCGAGGCGAGATGGCACCACTGCACTCCAGCCTGGGTGACAGAGCGAGACTCCATCTCAAAAAAAAAAAAAATTCATTTTCTCAAATAAGAAAGAGGAAGAGTTTTTACAGAGATGATAAACTAATTCAAGGCTAGTACTCTAACTAAACCTTCTGCATACAAGAAGAGAAAGTCCTAGACGCACATAATTGCAACACAAGGTAAGATAAGCTAAGCGCTAAAAATAGAGGTTGGGCAGATTCCTGGGTGGTTGAGAGAGGGAGATTAATGCTCAGAAGAAATTTACTAACATTCATTACTTATTCTCAATCAAAACTCTAAGAATCAGATATAGAGAATTTCTTTTGTGATACAATGAGGGGCTTACTTACAACCACTTTCGGGATTTTTTCCTGTGAGAGTCTGCTGTCCCTTCTGTTTCTCAATCTTTTAACTAACTCAATCAAGCTTTAATGGCAGAACTTTCACTACCATTGAACTATTACAATCCTGTTCTGACTAGTTGAACTGAATTACTGCTGAACTTTACTCTTATTAAGCTCTCTAGTGTAGTTCCCAAAATTTGAACCCAAAATACTTTGTGTCTGCAAAACAGACAACCTCTGAGGTTCTTAAAATTAGACTAATTAATTGGTCTACTTTAGTGTCTCTTAAACTATTAGAGTCTGTAGTATGTAGCTTTTAAGTTAGAATTTTTTTAATTTTGTGTTTTCATTTCACTGTTAATGAAATTATTTACATTTACAAGACAATGTCTTTTGCAATGCAAATTCAGAACTAAAATTGTTTTCATGACAGAATACAACCTGTTTCTTAAGTTTCTCAAGCTAGCTTTTCTCTATTAGCCTCTGTAGATCCCTGAGAATCCACATATTTCTGGGGTTCCACGCTTAATCTTTTTTTTCAGCTACTCTGCACATTTCTCAAGTTTGGGAAATACTGAGCTATTAGCTAGATCCTCAAAATTCTGTCTTTTTTTTTATGAATTATGGTGATAGGCTTCATAATCTAACATAGTTCGTAAAGAGTGGAAAGGCTTTTTAGTTCTCAACACTATTTTTTTTTTTTTTTTTTTTTTTTTGAGACAGAGTCTCACTCTGCCGCCCAGGCTGGAGTGCAGTGGCACAATCTCGGCTCACTGCAACCTCCACCTTCTGGGTTCAAATGATTCTCCTGCCTCAGCCTTCCGAGTAGCTGGGATTACAGGCGCCCGCCATCATGCCCCGCTAAGTTTTGTATTTTTAGTAGAGACGAGGTTTCACCATGTTGGCCAAGCTGGTCTCGAACTCCTGGCCTCAGGTGATCCATCCGCCTCGGCCTCCCAAAGTGCTGGGATTACAGGCATGAGCCACCACGCCCAGCCAGTTCTCAACACTATTCTCTACTCTGACTTAGTAGAAAAATCATTTAGTTATATTATGAGAGTTGTAACGGGTTCTTTTTAATTGACACTGGTAGAGGCAGTAGACTTCCAAGTAAGCTAGACCTGCTGGAATTCCAGTACTGCTAGTTTTGAGAGCTTGGTCGGGTTAATAGGCTGAGTTTACTACATCCAGATTTGACCAATAATACCACCCTTGAAGGACATTTGTGAGGAATAGAAATAATCAATGCAGAGTGCCTAATATGAGTATCTGGCAGTGAATGCTGCCAGTCAAAGTAGTTGTTATTGTTATGATATAAACAAATATTTATGGACTAAGTTGTAGTATTCTGATATAAAAATAAGGATTATAATTTTTAAGCTATATATAGAATTTATATTTAATTTTTCCTATTTGGAAGTGTGGTATATAGAACAAGTTACCTTCAAACATGGTACACATTTAAAGCATAAATAGTGTCCATTAAATTGTAGATGAATTAATGATATATCCATGACATATAAAGAAAAGATTGGAACTTGAGACATCCACTCTTGACTTTTGAAGAGCGTTTTAGAGGCTTCCAACCCTGCTTGTTCACAGCTATTGAGGCCTTGACCTCTGTGGGAGATAGTCTTGAGTTTGGTGGGTGGATGGGTCCACAGAAGAGACAACTGTTTTTCATGCTTTTGTGTTTTTTGAAATCTGACATTGAGGATGTTATTTCTGCTGTATATTTACCTTGTATTCAAGAATCATTTTGGTATGAGGTCAGAACACTAGTGTTTTCCTACTTAACTAAGACTCTTCTGTCTTTGGTTTGTATTCTCCTCCTAGAATCAGATTGAGATGGGATTTTCATAAAGGTGATGTATTGACAAGGGCCCTCAGGAGAAGGGGCATGAGGGTAGCAGGAAAGGGCAGGGGAAGAGCTAAGTAAACATATTGTTCCTCCTGGAGGAGCTTCAGCCTAGAACCACGGCGGGAGGAGAAGCTGTGTAGCACAAATTGCCCCACGCGTCTGTGTTCCCTTGAGGCAAGGGACCAGCTTATTGGAACCTGTGCCAGCCAGTCTTTGCAGGGAGCAGTGGGGCAGTCACTTCCCAGTAGAGGCAGCTCCATCTCTGGGAGCCATTAGCACCCATCAGTGCCAGCAGCTGGGGGTGGCTGCCCTGGCCCAGTGGAAGGAGCTTGGCCAAGACACAGCATCCTGTCTAGCTTCCTACCAGTAGACAAAGCTGTCAGATTACTTACATGGCCACCTCTCTGCCGCAGTTGCTTGGAAGTTCTAAACTAAGTTTCATGTTTAATTGCTTTAGCATGCTTCAACCAGGAACATTTAATAGCATTTTTTCTCTCTTCTTTTTGTTTGTAACTTTAGTCTTTCATCTTTATCAGTTGTTTTTATACTTATTATACCTGCAATTTTATAAGTTGCCTCAAATTCTTTTTTAAAGCCCTTGAGTCCAAAATAAAAATAAATATAAACCAAAAGCCATTTTTATAATTAAAGTAGTACCAGAGTCATCCTCCTTAAAAATCAGGTAAAATACGTGTTGAATAGAGATAAGAGTATTTGCTATTACAATTTTAATTCAGTACTAGGCATGCTTCCATAAACTGCTCAAGAATAAATGGTAAGTATTCTAAATCCAAGGAGGGAAAAAACAAAATTGCATTTTTGCAGACAGTACTTTTATGTATGTATAAAATGCAATGAAATTAATACAAAAGTAACTGGAGATAATGATAATAATGTGATAGTGTTCTGCAGAATTATAGGCTAGGCTAAAAATCTCAAAAGTCAAGTAAGTTAGTATTTGCTAAAGTCATGTAGCTGACAATATAGTGATGAAAGACATATGAGAAAACATTGTCCACATCCAAAACTGAACTTCTGTCTAACTACCCTAGTGGGCCTGCCCTCCCTGCACCTCTTATTCACTATGCTGACTAATGGCATCATCCACCCAGGTCATCCAAGCCTAAACCTTGGAGGTCATCTTAAGCACCACCTCCCCAGACCTTTACAACTGCTGACCCTCAGAACTAGTCAGTCGTTAACCAGCTTCTGACATTACCTAAATTTCTCCCAAACCCATCCCAATTTTGTACCCAATTCTTCTGACTTAATTTAAGTCTATCATTTTTGTCAGAATTACTAGATGAATTCTTCAGTCATATGTATAGATATACACGTGCTCCACAGGTTAAAAAAAAAAAAAGTATGATATTTTTGGTCTTTTGGGTTTTGTTTTGGTAACTTTTTATCAAAGAAGAATGAATAAGTATATTCGATAAATTAGACTATGATTTCTCAAACTCAGAACTGTTGACATTTGGGGCCAGATAATTCTTTGTTGCCAGAGTCTGTCCTGTGCATTGTAAGATACATAAAGGCATCCCTGGCCTCTTCCTACTAGATTCCAGTAGCACTACCTCAGTTAAGATAACCAAAAAAGTGTCCCAGCATTGCCGAATGTCCCCTGCAGGCTAAACTCACCCCAGGGAGAGCCACTGGATTAGACTAAGAACCATTGAGTAACACTAGTCATATGCTTTCTGTGCACCAACTGCTTTCTGTGTATCATCTCATTTAATCCCCACGAGAACTCTGAGGGTAGATGCCATTCTTAAGCAAACCAAGACCTTAGTTAAGTAATGCATGCTGTGTAACCATGCACCCACACCAGGGCTTGCACCCGGGTAGTTTGACTCCAGAACCTGGTTCCCTCAGGTTGGAACCATCTCCCCACTTACTAGCTGTGTGAACTTGGGCAAGTTAGGGAACTTATGTCACCTCTGTCGCCCTCAGTGTCCTGTAAGATCCTGAGAATAGTGCCTACCTGGTAGAGTTGTTAGGTTTAAGCCAGGACTGGCATGTGTTAGGTTTTAGACCAGGACTGGCATGTGTTAGGAAGCACTTGCCATGACATGTCACTGAGAATGCAGAGCTAAAAATGACACCACACCTCCCAGTCTAGTTGGAGATGCAATCATGTAAACTCATAATTTCATGACTTCTTAAATAGAGCGTTTTTACACAGTACACATTACTTAAGTCTTGGTGTGCTCATGTGAGCTATTGTGAGGATTAAATGAGAGCATTTATTAAATTCATAGTTTGTTAAATAGAGCATTTTCTGCGAGTGCAGATGCGGGCTTGAACTTCTAGGCTGTCAGGATTGAGTTTACAGGAGAGGTCCGTGTGAATCCTGAAGGGTGAGCAGGAGCTTTGGTAGTGAGGGAGTGAGGCTGGGAGGAGTGCAGGTGGAGGAATGAACACAGCGGGATAGGAATTCCTGTAGGAATAGAGAGACTCCACATCATTTATTGCAGGATTGCCACTTCCAAACAATACACTGGGCCATTATTTCATATAAAATGGCTGGTTTTCTGAGAGTTTGAAACATTCGTGTTTCTACTTAGGAAGAAAATACTCCAGAGCTAAATAAAAATTATTTTTGAAGTATATATAGAATGATATAGCAGATATAAAGATAACTTTTACTGTAGGACTAAAGGCTACATAGACTATGTAAACCCAGCCACATTCAGCAAAGTGAGAGAAGAACTATTAATGGGATCAAAGCAGTTCTAGCACATTAATTTGCATGAAATCATTCTTTGCATCAGAATTCTTTTTAGTATGACACTTGTGTATAAAATAACATTTTGACCACTCAAAAGGAATACATACTTTAAACAATCATTTAACCTTCTACAAAATGATCCCCTTCCTAATTCCCGTTTGTGATAATACCTTTTCGTTTTAGCTATTCCAGTAATAGCTAATGACATTGTTGCAGAAGAGAATGTCTACCCAGTAAAATAGGTATAGGATATGTTAGTCTATTTCTGTATGCACAAATGAAAGTTATTTACTTACGTAAAATATATTCTTCCCACTTCCTGAGTTATTAATGTACAAAGAAATAATCTTTTTTCCCCTTTACCATTGAATCATTGACAATGACTAAGCTTCAATTAACAAATAAATTGTTAGAAACAATAGTGGGCAGTGTTTCCTAGATTTTTATTTACTTGCTAAAATATTTGAATCACATATCATAATTTATATTTTAAAAGCATTCTTTAAAATATATTTTGACATTCATTAATTGAAACAGCTTATTTGTAAGAATGTTTTTGTTAACATGAATGAAATTTGAGAGAAAAAGTGACAAAGGTAACTTTTATCATCCAAATATGAATAAATGAGAGAGGAAGTGGGATGGTAGTAAATCCAGAATGTGATAGGATAAATGAACTTAATCTGTGGAGAATCCTCTTGCTAGAAGCAGAAGAAGGGAGTTCTTAAACATTTTAAAACAAACTTTTGTTCTTATCACTTAGCTTGTACTTAATGCTTTAAGAGTCCTAGAGATTTTAGTTTGGTTTGGCTTTCTTTACTGTGGTAGCATTTACCAATTTCTTCAGTTCTGCCTAATCTTAGTTTGCATATAATATTGTCAGCTCTTACAAATATATGTAGATAGTTTTCTAAAATGAAAAAGAAATGGGCTGGTCACAGGAGGTGGGGACTTGGGATGGATGGTTTTAGCAGCATCTGAATGGAGTAGGCAGCTCTTGTATTCCTAATGTACTTTCACACACTGTAGCTTTAAAACAGAAGCAAGTTGCTGTGTTGTTGCCAACCAGATAGCAAAGTGGATAATATTCTTGGTTAACACCAGGGCAAGGTACTTTTTATACTTGGCAGTTTAGTTCTTTTATAAAATCCAGTTTGAAAGGTGTATCAGCAAATTATCTTGAAAAAGCTATCAAATAATTGCCTTATGAATGTAATCAGAACCTCTTTCAATTATAAATCTTTAAGTAAAACATGGAAACAATAATGGAAAAAATAAAGAACTCTTCAGACAGATGTAATTGTATATGATAGTTTTATTGGCATTTTAAACTACTTTGTAGTTGTTAAAGTATTTTACATTCTACTTTCTTTGTAGGGAAAGTTAAGCATAATTCTGATTTTTTTTTAATCTAAAAGTCCCATTTGGCACCCAAAAGTTCCATTTCATATGCATTACTCAGTTATTTACACATAATCCTTCAGATTGTGTGTGGAATTGTTCTCGAGCTGTGTGTTAGAGATAGGCTGCTGTGTGGGTGGGTCGAGTCTAGCTTCTGGATTCCTTTTTATACAGGAGGTGCAGAAAATCATGCCAGAGATAAACAACAGCATTGCAGAAATGAATCCGATATAGATAGCTCCTCCAGGTTCATGTTTGTTGCTTTCTGGAACTGTCAGATCCAGAAAGTTTGCTATGATCTCCTTTGTGTACCACACTGTCGAGATTAAACTAGAGATTCCTGCAGACATGAAACAGACTCCTCCAGCAAAGGAAGCATGGCTCTTGGTTTCTCTGTCCCCTCCTAAGCGAGTACATTTCATTCCTACTGTGGAAGTGCAGATCCCCAAAGCAGACAGAACACACGCCAGGACCATGGTGGCTCTCGCAGCCTGCACGTGGATGGGGAGGGACAGAATGGAGTGTT
This sequence comes from Homo sapiens, assembly GCF_000001405.40. Taxonomy (NCBI): domain Eukaryota; kingdom Metazoa; phylum Chordata; class Mammalia; order Primates; family Hominidae; genus Homo; species Homo sapiens. The sequence continues at coordinate 155,275,918 of NC_000006.12, read as the reverse complement.
TCAGGGCACAGCTGAACATCCCAGTGCTGTACCACGTACAGTCCATCCAGAGCCCGTGCAGCTGTACAATGGCTGTTATGATGTTGGAGTCCACATCCACATTCACCTTCCAGTTGGGCAGCAGAGTGGCTGTGAGCACTCCAGAGACCCCAGATAAGGCCAGGATGAAAGCAAGGAGCTGGAGTCCTGCTGAGGCCATGATGTTACTGTTAAGTCTGTCCTCTTAGAAAATCCTGATGTTTAACAATGATGGCTGTCAGAATTCTATCTATTTCTGTGCAGTAGAGAACCAAATAACAAAGCCTAAGGAAAAAAGGCAAAACCAGGATTGAGCGAAAGAAAGTAAGTAAACAAAAGGCTTCCCTTTAGAGTAGGAGCCAAGAACACATCTGAGTATCCCCCTTCTCCAGCCCCCAAGCAGATGAGGATGCTGTAGGCTGGAGGAGAAAAGCTCCCACCAGGCCTTGAAGACTGGTCTGAGTGATATGCATGGGTGGTGTTGATACAGGGCATAAAGAAAGCAGTTGCCCACTTAATTCTTTTTAAAACTCAACATATGCTGAAACTGTAGCGTGGACATGTACGTTGTTAGGAGATTTAGACATTTGAAATTCCAGCTATAGTATCTGATAAAGAATTTTAATAGCATTATAGGTTTTTCAAATGATTTTATTTTTTATTTTTATTTTTTTTGAGATGGAGTCTCACTCTGTCACCCAGGCTGGAGTGCAGTGGAGCGATCTTGGCTCACTGCAAGCTCCACCTCCTGGGTTCACACCATTCTCCTGCCTCAGCCTCCCGAGTAGCTGGGACTACAGGCGCCCGCCACCATGCCCGGCTAATTTTTTTTTTTTTTGTATTTTTAGTAGAGATGGGGTTTCACCCTGTTAGCCAGGATGGTCTCGATCTCCTGACCTCGTGATCCGCCCACCTCGGCCTCCCGAAGTGCTGGGATTACAGGCGTGAGCCACCACGCCTCGCCCAAATGATTTTATTTTTAATGAAAATACTCAATACATAATAAGGAAGAAAATAAATTAAGGCCACCTTTTAAAGATGGTTTATAAATACATTTTAGAAAAGTATTTAGGAAGTGGCTTTCATAAACAGATCTTTATGACACACCCACAGTGCCAGGCACATAGCCCAAGTGAACCATTTGAGGAGGAAGGACAGCAGTGGAAAGAAGTCTGAGTCACTGGCATGGTTATCCCTAAGTTCTAGTTAATACCTGTTTGCAAAATCCTGACTGAGGTTAGTACTTGTTTTACTTCAGGTGCCTGGTACTCAAAACAATTAAGCCACTGTTTTTTGTATATAAGAACATGAGGTCCTTTCTAATTGGGACCAGAATCATTTCCTGGCCCAAATGAAGCCGGCTATTCTGAACAATTCAGAAGTAGTGATGGCAGATCTCAAAAATACATACCAGAAATAACCACATCATTAGTTGTATGTGAAAGGATACCAGAAATAAATTAACCCTTTATTTTCTTTGTTTATTTTTAAGAGGAAGGAAAAGACCACCTACTTTGTGGCTTGGCTGTGTTTTAAGAAACAAAAAGGCTTTCGATTCCATCTTTCTATTCCTGTTCCCCTATCTAGCCCATCTGGCACTGCTTACTGCCTTATTTGAGAAAAATGTAATGGTTTCTGAAATACTGCAGTACTGACTTTCTTTGTCATTCTGAGTTAATTTTGAATGGTATGCTAAAGTGGCTCTGTCGTGATTCATATGTATTTTACAAAAGGTGATACAGGCTCTTGAGTCAAAGACACTTGGGCCAGTTCTTAGCTTTATACCTCTCTGTGCCTCAGTATCCTCTTCTGGAAAATGGGGAGGATTGAAATACTTCGTTCATAGGGTTAAATAAGTTAATACATTTTAAGGGCTTAGACCAATATTTAAGCCACAGAAAGTCCTCAGTAATTTAAAATTGACATCATTATTAGTATTTTTATTTCTTATGTATTGTGACAATTGATGTTTAAAATTATTTGGATCTTTTCCCTTTTTCTCTTCCTTCCTTGGGCTGATTTATTTTCATAGAATCTTGGAGCTGAAAGAAACCTCAGACAGACAATCTCAAGCATCCTTGTTTTTTCAGATCAGAATGTTCAGATAGGATATCACCCCATGTCATACAGTCTTCAGCAGCCAACCTGCAGCGTCCAGATCTCTCTCCACCCCTCCTACCTCACAGGGTCATCCCGCATCCTTTCCCCTTTTACCACAACACTTCCTGCTGAAATTCTTTCTCCCCCTGTGTGTTTCCCTTGGGAACCAGGGAAAACACTGTATCTGGAGGCAAAAAGCACCATTAACTGTCTACTTCACCCACTCCCCTCCCCACCAAGGAAAAAAAGGACTGTAGAGGATGTTAATAGGCCACATGGCTCAGCTTCAGATGACTCGGCAAGGAGATTGATGCCTGGCTTTGGTTAAATATTTGAAATAGTACTAATCCATTGCCTATATTTAAAGTATAAACTTTGCATAGCTACAAACATTGATTCTCTAAGACATTAGATCCTAGACTATCTGGATTGTGCTGTTCTGTTTTTGTTCATAATCTGAAAATGTAAATCTTACCATTTTAGAAAAGGATTTCCCTAGGATTTTAAGTTCTTAAGAGTCAGACTTATCTGTAGACATCAGTGTGCCTAGGATTCACCTGCTATCATACAGTTTCTTTTCTGTTTTCCAAACTTAGACCAAAATAGAACAAAAGTTAAAGTTTCTAGAAAAAAAATCAAGCACATGTTTACAGTTTTGTAATAGCTGCTTTCAAGTTTAGGTTTTAGCATTTCGGACTCCAGCCAGCTTGCTAAATTACTGCCTCTGGACCATTTTCAGCTTAGGGATTCTTCAAGTGTGGGGTTGCTGGAACATTTTCTAACAGCATCTGCTTGCTCACTTTTCTCTCTCCCTCTCTCTTTCTTTCTACTTTGACTGAATAACCTTTGTTGTCAATCTATGTTCAGCTTACCAATTATAATCCTTTTCTTCCCATTAACTGATATATTTTATAACTTTCAGTATATTTCAGACATGAAGACAGTTTGTTCATCATGATTAACAAGTACTGGCAGTGATCAATTACAGACAGCCAAAATCAGTGTAAACAATATGACGTGTCATTTAATTAGCATAGTGCTTGCTTACTGTTGAATATTGGATTCAAATGCTTTTTTTTCTGCATAGAGAACTTATGTAGAAAGAATTTGTTCTCCAAATGAAGGTCACTTTCTGCTCATACAAATATACTGGCATTTTAGCTGCATTGCGCTTTACCCTCCAGCCACGAGTATAATACCGTTTGTGGCCTGTTCTCTCAAAATTTCTATCTCGTAGAGAATAAAGGCACACTTTGTTCCAGCAGCTGTGGTGGTGGTGGTAGAGAAATACTGTGAAGGCAAGCAGAAGCAGAGGGGAGGGGTCGCATGTAAACACTTACATGGTCTACAGTGAAAACTCTCTCATGGTCCCAAAACACAGTGCACACAGAACAGAACCCAGGCACCTTCAGTTTATGAACTACTCGCCAACAGAAAGTCTGTTGTAGATTTCACTAAAATGTAAAGTCAGCTTTCCAGACAAGGTTTATTTATATCAAAAATAATATTTAAAAGCAGATTTACTGCTTATAATTCGAACTAAATAATACCGAAAGACCTATTCTTAGATCTCTAAGCATTAAGACAGGTTTTATTTACCATACCTTTTGTCAGTAGCCTTCACTGTCTTAACTCCTTCGGTCAGTTGTCTTCAAATTAACCTCAGTTAGTTATGGTGAAGAAAAACCATATACGTGAGGCTTATTTCAGAAATTCTGGATATGTTTATAAAGCTCCAATAAGTTAACTTGAAAAAAGCAAATAAAGGACAACGTAGAAATCTGAGAGGTAAAAACTGCTGATGGTGTTAGAAGATAAATACCAGGTTCTCCATCTCATTTTTTGAGATGTGGGAGAATTAAGAAAGGAGAGGCGGGGAAGGGAGGGAATTGTTGTTACAACAGGATTTGTTGAAACCTGAAAGCTAAAAATGCTTTTGTGTCACTGTGTACAGAGGAGGAATTATTTGGGTGCTCACAAAAAGGCCTTCTTTTCTTTTAATATAATGTTTTAGTCACATAGTTATAACTTATTTTTGAAATTTTCTCTATGTTGAAAGATATAATGTATTATTTTATGTCCTCAGTTCAAGAATGTGGTCTGAAATATTTTTAACAATGTCGTGCCTTGCAAATGAGAGTTGAGACTCCCTTTTTTCCCTGGTATTCTTGACTTGTCTGGAACCTGAATTCATAAAATTGTTAATTTTCAAAATAATCATTCAGAAGAAAGTTTTTTAACATATGTATTTTTTTCAATAAAAGAAAAAAGAAAACCCAGCAACAACTTTTGACTAGAATCTGATCACTAAACCTACAGGTATTTTTGTGTGTGTGGTGCCCTGAGTTTTCTTGTTATTGCTTCCACTTAGATTTGTGGAGTATAACTATAGAGATTCAGGAAATGTTATGAATAAATTACCCAAAATGATGTGATGAGACACATCAGATAAGACTGTGATCAGATACTGAGGTTGTAGCCCATGAATAATGGTACAGATGGATTTCACTGCCATCCTTTTGGGTTCTCATTTTTTTCTTCCTCAGTAAGTTTTATTCTACAAGCTATAAATTCATAGCCATTATACAGAAAGAAGATAATTTTATTATTGGATTTTTAAATTTAACAACTGTTAATAACCATGTTAGACTTTAATCATTTCTTTAAAAGTAGTAAATAAACAAACACATGTTTCGGTTATCTGGATTTTTTGTTTTGGTTTGTTTTAATCCTAAGTTTTGCATTGAGCAAGATACTCTTTTTCCTCTTTTCTAAGTCTAACATCTGTGGGTTTGCTTTTCAGCCATAGTATTGATTACATGTTAAGTCTTAGCTCTCTAAGTCGTTGTAAGCTTTATGTGTACTGGCTTTGTTCTTTGATTTTATTTCATGGGAAATACAAACAATTCAGTGCATAAATAAATACTGGAAGAAGTTGAGTTGAATTGCAGACACTAATAGTCGCAGCAGTGTCATTAGTGCTGCATCCGAAGACACCTCACCAGGGCCCTCCAGCGTCCTGGCTTGTTTCGCTGGTCGCCATGGTTGTTAGTGCAGACATAAGCTTTGTGAGGCTGACTGATGGCAGATGGAGGGACCCGGCTGCTCCCCACTCTAACCTCTAGCATAAGGAAGCTGGCTGGAGGATAAATGGGTTAAGCATGCTTTAATGTACATTTAATGTACATTTCTATTCTCAAAACATGTTGATTATTTTTTTGCCTTGATGAAAACAATAATCCTATAAAATATTAATTGCCTGCTTTAGAAGGAAAACTTCTGAACTGGAAGCAACTTTCGTTAGCTATAGACCTTTAATGAAGGCAGAATTTCTTATATAAAAAAGGAGCTAGGAAAGTAGAAGTGTAAATAGAAATATAGTTTATCAACATTACTATCCACTTCTGATGTGGACATTAAAGGGATATTAATCTTTTAAGTCCAGAGACTCTCCTAGGTAAGTCTTATGACCCCTCAGCTTAAATCTCTTGCCCAGCCCTCTCCCCTGAACTCCCAAGTTGTGTTTCTGTCTGCTGACTTGGCGTCACTGATGGATAGCTCAGACCTGTCATGGCACAAAACTGAATTCCTGACCATTCCCAAACTGTTCTCCCCACGGTCTTCCCAGGTTCATTAGTGGCAAATCCTTCCTTCCATTTGGCCGCCTGAGATCTTAAAAGTAATCCCTGATTCCATACCCAACATCCCTTGAGTCAACAAGTTGTTTTGTTTCTGACTTCAGACTAGAACAAGAACCTTCCACCTCTGAGCTCCTCTTCTGCTTCCACTGTAGCGCAAGACCTCTGAGGTAGAAGTTCAGCCCCACAGGGCAAGCACTTCTCTCTGTTTCGTTCATCACTGATTCTCCTGTGCCAGGATCAGTGCCTGGCACATAGTAGGGATACAATAAATATTTGCCCAATGAATGAATTCAGAAACTGACTTTAAGTATATAATGTTAAACTATAAATTGCACTTGAATGATTAAAAATACAATTTTATTTCTAAGCAGGACTAGAATTTTAAGTAATTTTGGAACTCTAGTTTGTCATCTTGCTAATAACATTATCTACCATTTATAACCTGCTTTCCATATGCCAGGTACTGTTTAAGGTGCTATAATACTTAATTCTCAAGACAAACCTAGCAGATAAGAAGAATTTTATAGACAAGAAAACTGGCCGGGCGTGGTGGCTCACACCTGTAATCCCAACACTTTGGGAGGCTGAGGCAGGCGGATCGCCTGAGGTCAGGAATTCAAGAGCAGCCTGGCCAACATGGTGAAACCTTGCCTCTACTAAAAATACAAAAATTAGCCAGGCGTAGTGGCACATGCCATTAGCCCCAGCTTCTCGGGAGGCTGAGGCAAGAGAATCGCTTGAACCCAGCAGACGGAAGTTGCATTGAGCCAAGATCGTGTCATAGCACTCCAGCCTGGGTGACAGAGCGAGACTCCATCTCAAAAAAAAAAAAAAAGAAAAGAAAAGAAAAGAAAACTAAGCTACAGAGAAGTAACTTTTGACTAAGGCCATAAAATGAGTAAATTGCAGGAATGGGGTTGAGTCCCAAAACAATGATTTTTGAAACCCTGACATACTACATAGCATTGCCCCACCTCTAATTAGAAAAGAGCATATTTGTAAGTCCTACCTCTCTTGGTAGTTTATAAGCTATGGAAACAAATTAACCCAGAAATCTCTGTAGCTTTACATATCAGCATTTACTTCTCAGTCCTGCAAAGTCCACTGTGGGTTGAGTGATTGCAGTCCATCTTTCTTCTTTAGAATGTTTTCATTTATCTTTTTTTTTTTTTTAATTTTTTAATTTTTTTTCTTTTTTCTTTTTTTTTTTTTTAATTGATCATTCTTGGGTGTTTCTCGCAGAGGGGGATTTGGCAGGGTCATAGGACAATAGTGGAGGGAAGGTCAGCAGATAAACAAGTGAACAAAGGTCTCTGGTTTTCCTAGGCAGAGGACCCTGCGGCCTTCCGCAGTGTTTGTGTCCCTGGGTACTTGAGATTAGGGAGTGGTGATGACTCTTAGCAAGCATGCTGCCTTCAAGCATCTGTTTAACAAAGCACATCTTGCACCGCCCTTAATCCACTTAACCCTGAGTGGACACAGCACATGTTTCAGAGAGCACCGGGTTGGGGGTAAGGTCACAGATCATGTTTTCATTTATCTTTAAGCAGAAATTACTTTAGCTTCCCTTAGTGTGTGGTGTTGCTTAGTGATGTTAATCTGGATGTTCAGGTAGGCTTTTATTGTCTTTCTGAAAGAATCAGTAATTTAACTGAGTATTTTGGAAATAACAATACCACACCTTTTCATAGAGCTTAACAGTTTATAAAGCATTGCACTCCATCTTCTCATCACTGGATCACAGTAACAGGCTTATGAGAGAGACCTCTACCCTAATCAAAGAAGCCTGGGGATCAGGGTTAAGGGGAAACACTTTGGTGGCTGACATTTTCTTCAAGAAGGAGTTTGAAGGCCACCACTAGAGGCAGTGTGAACCATCAGAGTGTTTTTTTGTGGTGGAATTTGTGGTTTAAGAGCACTTGGCTATGGTGTGGAGGATTTAAAGAGATCAGAATTGGAGACAGACAGACTCTGGGAGGCTGTGGTAATGGGAGCGATTAAATGGAAATAACTAGATGAGTAGAGATATTGCATAGGAAATGGATTCAAGATAAAGGGTGTTCATAAATTCTGGAAATATAATTAAATATATATAATGTAGTCAAGGGCATCTTCGGTCTGTAAAAAGAACCCAAAATTTCCTGTCTACATTTTGAAAACAAATTTGTAGAAGGGGCTTTGGGCTTGTATTGGTTTCAGATGTTTCAGTGGACAAATTACAGAAAAATCTAACAGTAGACTAAACTATAAGGACTCATTGTTTGAAAGTCAGTACTGTTCAAGGTTAGTTCTGCAATTTAAAACTCTTCTTAAGTATTCCAGCTCATTCTGTTTTTCTGTTCCTTCAAACTGAACTTTTCTTGGCTGTGTGAAGGTTGATTATACAAATTAGGTCATTCTTGTCTTACCCAACTAAATCAGAGTCAAGGGGCCAGGAGGAAAAAGCACTCAGGGCACATAGCACTGTCGCACCTGCTCCAAAATTTACACTTTCTATAAGCCTAGCTGCTGAAATGGCCTGCTGTAACACCAAGACCAGTTTTAGCTAGTAGCTGCTGGGACCACCTACTGTGACTCTAAGACTGGTTTTACCTGCTGTCGTCACTCACCAATCAGAGCTTGTCCACACCCAAAAGCTTCTCTAGTGCCAATGAGCTTTCTTTCAAAACAACACATAACATTTCTCTAATAAAACTCCCAACCTTCCTTTTGTTCTTTGGACATACTGAAGACCACCTGGTCTGTGTGTAGGCCCTAATTTACAATTCTTGCTTCCCAAATAAAACATTGAATTTGGAGATTTGTCTCTATATTTTAGGTTTACTTCAACAGCTATGAGATGGCTGCCTCAGCTGACCCTTTCATCAAGAAGCACCATATTCTACGGCCAGGTGTGGTGGCTCATGCCCATAATCCCAACACTTTGGGAGGCCAAGGCAGGTGGATTGCTTGCGGCCAGAAGTTTGAGACCAGCCTGGCCAACATGGTGAAACCCAGTCTCTATTAAAAATACAAAAATTGGCCGGGTGTGGTGCCACCCACCTGTATTTCCAGCTACTCAGGAGGCTGAGACACGAGAATTGCTTGAACCCAGGAGGTGGAGGTTGCAGTGAGCCGAGATCATGCCACTGCACTGCACTCCAGCCTGGGCGATAGAGTGAGACTCTGTCTCAAAAAAAAAAAAAAAAAGGCAGCAAAGTATTCTAGAGTTCTCTTCCCCTCTCCCACCACCACCCCAGACTATGCTTTAATGTCTCACTTTCCAGAACTGGCTCATTTGGTCATTCTTTTTTTTTTTTTTTTTTTTTTTTTTGAGACGGAGTCTCGCTCTGTCGCCCACCCTGGAGTGCAGTGGCACGATCTCAGCTCACTGCAAGCTCCGCCTCCCAGGCTCACGCCATTCTCCTGCCTCAGCCTCCCAAGTAGCGGGGACTACAGGCGGCCGCCACCACGCCTGGCTAATTTTTTGTATTTTTTAGTAGAGACGGGGTTTCACCGTGTTAGCCAGGATGGTCTCGATCTCCTGACCTCATGATTCGCCCGCTTTGGCCTTCCAAAGTGCTGGGATTACAGGTGTGAGCCACAGCGCCCAGCCTCATTTGGTCATTCTTAACTGTGAGCGAGACTGGGGAAGTTTGTATCTGGCTTTTCATCCCCCCTGGTGAGCTGTATCCAGCAGGGACTCAGGCTGGCTTTGTGGGTGTCACAGGGCTCTAGCTGCACTTCTAGTGAATTTAATCTCCAGGATTTGAGTTGACTGTGTGATACTTTCCCAAGCAACTAGGATTGTTCCCCAAACCTGTGATTCTCATTTCTGCCCACACGAGGGCTTTGGAAAAGCCCCAAGAGGCTCAGGCCCAACCCAGTGGCTTTTATTTAATTTTCTGGGATGGAGCCCCATCCTTGTATTTTTCAAATGCTGTCCATTTAATTCTAATGAAAAGTTGGGGTTCTGAATTTTAAAAAAAATGTTGTGATGGTTAACACTGAGTGTCAACTTGATTGGATTGAAGGATACAAAGTATTGATCCTGGGTGTATCTGTGAGGGTGTTGTCAAAGGAGATTAACATTTGAGTCAGTGAGGTGGGGAAGGTAGACCCGCCCTCAATCTGGGTGGGCACCATCTAATCAGCTGCCGGCTCAGCTAGAATATAAGTGGGCAGAAAAATGTGAAAAGAGAGACTGGCTTAGCCTCCCAGCCCACATCTTTTCTCACGTGCTGGATGCTTCCTATCCTCAAACATTGGACTCCCAAGTTCTTCAGTTTTGGAACTTGGACTGGCTCTCCTTGCTTCTCAGCCTGCAGATGGCCTATTGTGGGACCTTGTGATCATGTGAGTTAATACTTAATAAACTCTTCTTTATATATATATTTAATATTTACATATTATATATTAAATATATATTATATATTATATATAATATATATTTATATTATATATAAATATATTTAATATTTATATTTAATAAACTCATATATATATATTCCATTAGTTCTGTCCCTCTAGAGAACCCTAATACAAATGTTTTTTCTTCTTTGCTTTCCATTCAATCTTGAAAATAATGACAGTTCAGAGTAAGATAAAATAGTTACCTGTTCCAGCCCTACAAATTTAAAGTGATTTGACCTAATCCTAAAATAATGTTCTTCTTCTGTCCCAGCCTTAGGAAATTAACAGTATCAGCTATGAATATACGAATGTACTGACCAAGCATCTTCAGTGTGATGTCTAGTCCGTTTGATAATTATGGTTTATTATGAATTACTATATTTGTATGCATGTTCTATTTCTCAGTCTTTTAATAATATTACTAGCAGCATTTATCAAGTGCCTTCTGAGTTTGTTTAGATTGAGAGCCTCTCTGAGGTCCTGTCTTCTCTCTGAGGGACGGGAGTTGCTCAGGACCTGCAGCGCTGGGGTCCAGACCCTGGCAGTTGCCAATGTGCTGCCACACCCATGGCCCGGCTGGGCAGCCTCGAAGCTGCCTCAGGCAGCTCCTGCCACATCCACAAACCCAAGCGGGAGCACAGCCCGGGACAGGAAACACAGGGCACGTCCAGATGCTGCTGCTTCACAGACACCAAGGGCGTGGTTTGTGGAAAAGGCCTAGTTTTAGGAAGGTCTTTTCCCTCTGATCATCCAGGAACTCCAGATTAAATGTAACAGAAAACCTTTATACAACAATTGTCAGTTCTTGTTCCATTTGTGCTTTCTTGAGGATTACACGTGCATCTCCCTGAAATTGTTTAATCTCTTGGGACCAAGAGACACTGACTCATCTTGTTGTTGTTATTACTAATAGGTGTAATTTACATACATACATATGTACATTTACATAATTTACACAGTAAAAAAACTCTTCATCCCCCTCACCACATTTCTTAGTCTTATTTCTCTTGTGATCTGAGTTTGCTGTCATTCTCTTGGCCTCAGTTCTTCCTACCACATCTGCTCTGAGAGGAAACACTATGTGACTGTTTAAAATCTGTTCTTTTTTTATGATCCCAAGAAGAAAGAGAAAAAAACAAAGATCTGTAGGAAGAAAAAAGGGTGAGGACAGAACTTCTGCAGAAATAAATATTGTTACAATAACACAAATTGTAAACTTTAGGATAGGTACTGACCGTGTAGTTGATCTTTATTGAACCAGTTGGTTTGAAATACTTAGAATGCTGTCAGCTTTAAGGTTTTACAGTGGAAATTCTTTCCTTAAATTGGCTTTTGGACATGGATCACAGGTAGAGTGAACCAATTCCAGAAAATGTGATCTACATTCACATTTGTCAGTATTTTCTTTTTCTATGACATGCATAATTATCATATCACAGGCATCAGTGACTTGCTGCCTCTACCTGGGATTCTCCTTACCTGGGAAAGTTGTAACCTCGAGGCCCGTGATGTCCTAAAGTGGACTGTCATTAGCTTGGTGGAGGTACTTGAAGAGCAAGCAGACACTGGAGGGTGGGGAAACCAAGCATCCGGAGGCACTCATCTTGCTCCGTTGTTTTACCCGACAGTGAAGTGGCTCTCCCAAGCCCCTGTCCTCCTGCGTTCCATTTTGTGGTGCCTATAGCCTGCAAGATGCCATATGCTTCCTGTTCCCAACCACCCAGGTCTGCCCGTGATCATCCCACTTCGAACTTTGAATCCTTCTTATATGTTGTTCTTTAAAGTCTTACTGATTATTCCCTGTGGTCTTTTTTTTTTTTTTCACTAGCCCTTCTGTTGTCTTAAGTTATGGCTGTGTCTTGGCTATTTACATAGTAACTTCCTCATCATTTTTTCATCTCCACTATCTTGTCCTCTAATGGTCTTGAACACCGTGAGAGTGTTGAATGAAGACCCTTTTGTAGACAGTGGCCAGCATTGTTTCTGTGTCTGTGCATGTGGTCGTGACTTAGCTTTTGGGCATATGATAATCATCAGGAACTGAGTTGTACGTCTCTTCAGTGTCCTCTGTATATCATGTTGATTACAGTTCTCAGTTGTAATATCTAATATCTAAGATTTAAGATTTAATATCTCCTTAGCCCGGGTCCCTTGTGAGTTCCAAGTGCTGCTCTGAGCTGATAACCAGTCACGTCCTAGACACCCTGGCCTGGAAACTAGGACATCTGCCTCGGGCCTGTTATGGCCAAGGCTGCTAACACTGAGAAACAGTCTTAGCTTGTTACAGCGTTGACGTATAGGGTTAGAAAGGCAAATATTTAAATTCATTTTAAATCCTTTCATTTGAAATTTTAGTAGGTCATTTTGGTATACTGATGGACTGAGTTTGGAAAAGGCTGGCGGCATTAAACTAGAATATTTTAAGTACTTCTGATGCCTTTGTACTGATTTCTTTTTTGTAATCAAACCCATTAATAGACTTAAAACTCAAGGAAGAAAAAATAATACTTGTAATTTTAAATAAGCATTCAATTATAAGTAAAAAACATTTTTGTATTCGTTACCATAGTTACCAAGCAGCTTTCCTATAGTTCTAGAAAAAAATGGGCTCCATCATTCAGAGTAATTCTGAAAGGTGCCTTTGGGGGAAAGGGAGAGGAAGGGGTGGTACAGGAGAGGTCCTGGCCGTCCCAGAAGCAGGAGACATAACTGGAAGAGCTTTGTTGACGCTGAGTTTTACAGAATCTCCCACTAAATAGTAACTGCATTTGTGAGGGGAATTCTCTTTTAGCCGTGACATAATATAAGCCAACTTAACAGAGTATTGGAATTGTATTCAAACTTTAGAAGTCGACGCTATAGTTTACATGGGGTACTACTATATTTGTTCAGGGTTTTAAAACTTTATTTAAATCAAGCAAAAGTTAGACACTTCCTGTATTTGCAAATACCAACTATATCTCAAAGGAATGAAATCAGGCAAATAAAGATGAGGCCAAAATTTAAAATCTAAGGAAGCTGAAAGTGGCAGTTTCTGTACTGGAAGAGAGTGCATCTATCTCTGTATTTGTGCTTTTGGTCTTAATAGTTTGTAAGCCTTATGTAGAGTTTTGATAATATTTCATGGTTTTAGGCCTAGGCAGGGATTAGATTTTATCTCAGATTTTGCTAAGAGTATTTCTTCTGGAGACTAGCAGGCTGCTAGTAAGAATTGATAGAATTGGCTCTTTGTCACTGGGAGAACTGGAGTTGAAGGGTTACAGGAGATGAGTCCTGGAGAACGGGAGGCAGGGACAAGGGTGCCAGGAAGCTCAGGGGATGAAAGGGAAATGGAGAGTCCAGTGAGAGAAGGCTGGCGAGGTGTAGAGAGTGGCCAGACACATGCCTGACAGTTGGGACCACTTCTCTATACAAATCAGGAGGAGGCGAGGTAGGCAGGATAGTTCAGAGTTTGTGGGAAGGAACCTGACATCTGAAGTCAGTGGAGTGTGTCTTGGGCTGCTGCCTGCACTCTGCCATTCATAGATCAGGTCTTCTTTTTCCTTCCCCAGAACTGCCCTGAGCTGAAACCACCTTTCTTCTCTCCCTATAGCAGTACATCTACCCCACCTACACCCTGCATCCACTCCACAGCCCCTTGTCTTCTTCAGTCCCTCTTTCCCTGATGACCACAGACCTCTCCAAGCTGGGCACTGTTCTATGGTGCGTTTTGTTAAAGTCTAAGGGAAGTCCTGTAGGAAGAGGTAGTTGTTACTAAACTTGAGGAAACATGAAACAACATATAGCACACAATTCAAAAAACTTACTAAAATTTATTAAGAGCATTTGACATCTTAGTTAAGTCACTGTTCATAACTACTGTTCCACCATAGAATCTTCACAAGAACAGCCTGCTGGACTTCACAAGAAGGCTGATGGATGTTGGGGGTGGGCATTTGGGGTGTGGAAAGGCCGCTTGGCACATTCTCAGCATGCGCCAGCCCACACCGCCCCTTACCACCAAAGCCTTCTATTTCCCATTCCATCCAGTAGGAGCAGCTGTAGCTGACCTGAAACCTTCGGGGACAGGCTCATTGATTGTTTAAATAGGGAGGTGCAAGCTCTCAGGGGTCCGGGGCCTTGATGACACAGCTCAGGCACCACAGGCACCTCCCACAAGCGCGTCAGGCTGTGTGAGGCTGAGCACAGCTTATTTTCACTTTCTTGTCCATAAAGTCTCACATCATATTCAGTTGTTTTCCTTCTACCCTAAAAGAAACACAACCAGAAAAGCCAGTCTCCCATTTTCATCTGTTTAAGGAATTATGTAGCCACAAGGATCTTTAGAAGCAAGTCCTCTTAGGAGAAAATGACAACCTCTATGGGATTTCAACAATGGAGTTCCTTTTGAAAAGCAGTGGTGCAGCCCACACCTCCTAAATTGCCGTACTTTCTTCGCCTTTTGTTGAGTCTGTATGAGATCCTCATTAACAAGTTTAACAATTCCTGGAGACTGAGGCTTTTGTCAATTATGACGAGACTTCCCATTTCCTAGACCATGGTCTCCGTTAGCATTTTTGTGTGTGTAGTTACTGTTTTGAATCCATTTCCCTCTGTCTTTAAATGTTTTTCCTTTGGTATTTGAATTTGTCCTTGTGAATCACCATGAGTCCATTTTTGGAACAAATCAGGGTATAAATCTCTTATAAGATATGCCTGAAAAGTTTTATCTTCTGACAATTAAAGAATCTCCACAGCTGGCAGTAGCTTAAACACTATCAAACAGTGACATTTTTTGATGGTTTCCATTTTCAATTTCAGTCCTGCCTATGCCTTTCGGGGCATTTAAAATTGCTACTAGAAAGTTCTGTGGCTTTTCAGACTACACTCATGAATTCAGTCCAGCTGATTAATCAGTGTCTACCGAAAATAAGTGGTGTCTCTATCTGGGAAGTTTAGCACTGAGTGGTCCCTGGGGGCCTGTCTGCCATCTCTCTGTGTCTTGAAGCTGCTGCTGCGGCTTATTTTTTTCCTCATTCAAAAACTAAAATATTCTAATGCCATCTATTATCTGCTGACTGACTTTAATGATTTGGATTGATTTTTAAGCCATTGTGAAACTGTGTTTTAAAATTAAGTGACCATCAAGCACAGGTCTGGTGGATGTCATTAGAGAACAGGTGCAGCCGGCTGATTTCTCCATGTCATTTGCGAATCCAGAATGTACCATCTTCCATGCCTAGAGATGAAACCGAAGTACGTGGAAAGGTCTGTTTATGAAAACAGGCTGTTGACAGCCCATCCTCCTGTTTTACAAGGATGAGTTGATTGATCACACTATGCCACATATCATGCCACAGAATGATAATATGTTTGCTTACAACGAAGGTGGACGTGGGCGTGGTGCACTTCACTCCCTTGATACAGCCCAAGATAGAGCAGCCATTCAAGCTGGTGGAAAAAGTGGTTCAGAATGTATTTCAGTTCCGAAGGAAATACTGCCATCGAGGGCTCAGGTAAGAATGCCTTTTCTTCTCTTCAGTTGCAGTCTTTATAAAATCCTCAGGCACTTTTTAAGAGTGAGAACCTTGTTTGCTCTATTCTTAAAGCTCTGAGTATTACACTTAGTTCAGGCCTGTGACGGACAAGACTTCACTGCCAATGAGGAGAGAGCAAAGACTTGCTAGACCTCAGGTGGCCTCTCTCAGGGTGGCTTAAACATAAGCGCAGCCTGGAGTTGGTGACTGCACAGCTCACAGAGGCTCTGTACCAGGGAGCTCGTGGTTCCCCAGTGAGGACTCAAGACAGATAATAATGGGTTTTTTAAATGCTTGCTTTCTACCGAGTTGCCCTATCTCTTCTTTAAGGACACACTTGAGAACTAGGAAGCAAATATGACTTCTGAGCAGCCAAAATCATATCACGAAGTCCTCACGTAAGCACGTTTCCATCTCACAGAAAGCTGCTGCTGCCAAGAGGCTCTCAGGAATCACTGGGAAAACCTGACAGGGCCTGGTGGTCTAGAGGTCGCCCACCTCGATGGGCTCTGAAGGACCACAGCCTTGTTGCAGATCCAGAAAGAGCCAAGAAGCTGTTTAGTTAAGCCCAGTGATAGTCTGCTTAAGAAGGCAGGAAAGTGTATTTGTAAAAGATTTCCATCTACGATAATCTATCCATAGTCCGCTGTTTAAAGAGGCTCGGCGTGAGAGGCACATATTTCTCATTTTCTAAAACCTCCTCACATGGCTTCATTGTAATTCTCTCTTTCACAAGGTCCGAAGTGTCCCTTTAGCATATGAAATGACAGCAGATTATTTTAGGGGCCAGCTGGGCATCAGCTCCTAAGAGTGCTGCAGTCCACAAAGCCCATTGCTGAGGATGCCAGATGGCAGAAGCTGGAGCCTCAGCCTGCCACTTGTTGCCTCTAATTAAGCCAGAATTCCCACCTTACCAGATAGTTCCTGCTTCTCTAGCAGAGACTTAAGGTGCAGAGCTGGTGACAGAGATGCCACTGGCCAGCCATTTTGGCTGCAGCCCCCAGCTACTGTGCACTGCTGGTGAGTGAAACAGAAGCTGGATTTTGGCTCACACTTACCCCTCACGCAGAGCAGGACCCACACAGCTGTACCTGATAGCCCTGATTCATGGGGGAGGAGGGAGCACAAAACTATGTCCTTTTATGTGCTTTTGGAAATCCTGGAATTGGTCTGAGCCTAGAGCTGGCACTAGCGTTTCCAAGGCAACCCCCCAGCTAAGTGAAGGGCCCTATTCATTTCAGATACACCATCCTCAGGACAGACATGGACCAGATACTGTGCCACCCAGGGTAACAGGTCAAAGGACTTTGACTTATTGGTGTTCTTCAGATATTAGAAACTGCCATCATCAGGCCCTCTTTGCCATGAAACTGAACTCAAAGATCTGTCACCTCACCCTGAAAGTGTGGGGGACATGCAATTCCTTGTTGAAAGGACCATCAGCCTATAAGCAACATGCTATCTATCTCCCCTGGCCATGACACCTTCCAAGCCCCTTGGGATGAGCTCTGTAAGAGCCCTGAGACTTGAAGAAAAATGCAATCCAGGCCTAACTCCGCAGCATTTCAAGCAGTTCTGCTATTCATTTTAAAACAATGGTTCAATTTGGATAGATGAAATTTAAAATATATCCTCTACTTCAAATCAGTTTTAAAGATGCTTGAAAAATAACAAGAGGAATAATTATATTTTCCTATCAGCTATTTTCAAACTTTTAGCAAAAAAAAGTAACTCTTTTAGCGTGAAGAGTTCTAAAGGCTGATACATTCAAATTCTAGAGAATCAAAACTGATGATTTGTCACACAAGAAATAATACAACTTTCACATTGAAACATGAGGCACATCAAGCTTATGTTTCTACAAGAATGCAGCTGAGCAGATGTTACTTTAAACTTACTTACTTACCTTTAAAAAGTACATGTACTGATTTAGCTTTGGAGAATGCTTTCCCATTGTGTGCTTGCCTCGCGCCTCAGGTTAGAGCTGCCTCAGTGGCGGGCCGTGCCTCTTATCTGGTGCTATATAATCCAAGAGGCTCCTGCCACTCTCTCCAGCTGTCAGTAGCCAGCAACTGTGTTGTGTTGTTTTCAAATGAGGGTTAAAAAGTGTCATGATTTGCAGAATTTAAGTAAAATTCTTATTTTTCTGTCTGTCTGTCTTCCCCTCAGAATGTTATTCCCTGAAGCGCAGCGCTTGGAAAGCACGGGCAGGCTGTTAGAGTTGGCAGACATAGACCCTACTCTTCGGCCCCGCCAGCTCTCCATCTCACACTTTAAGAGCCTCTGTGATGTATACAGAAAAATGTGTGATGAAGACCCACAACTCTTTGCATATAATTTCAGAGAAGAACTCAAGCGAAGAAAAAGCAAAAATGAAGAAAAAGAAGAGGATGACGCAGAGAATTACAGACTCTAGCTGCTGCCTGGGGGCGAGCAGCCTACCAGATGTCGATTTGCACTACGTGGAGCTTCTTATATAGGTACTCTTTTGTCTTTACAGAATGACGATACAAATGCCAATGACCAGATGTGACTTATTTTCCTTTTACTATACAGCTTGGCAGAGAAAATAAATATCATCAAATAAGATACAGTACAAGCTTTCTTTTAATATATACTGTATAGATAGTTATGACATGTTTAGTATAAACAGCATCTATTACAATCTATCTTACAAAAATGAAGTATCTGCACATTTTGCCCCTAAACCACATTAAAATAACTTAAATATGCTTTAAATAAAGCAAAAACTAACAAACAGCTGAAAGAAAATGCCCAGAGGATTTTAAAAAATGGCCCTTTGAAAACTATTAATCACGACTTCCCCAGCCTTACTTTTTCCACATAACTTAATTATTAGAATGTAATTTTAAGGATCCTAAATCATTTGATACCTGCTCAAAGTGGATATAAACTAAGTAATTTACAGATTCTGACCAGTTTCATCTAGGTTTCTGATCCACAATAAATTAAAATAACTTAAATCTTTACAACCATTTTGTGGGAAAATGTATACTGCACAAAACCCAGGAATGAACAGTTTTTTTTTTTTTTTTTTTTTGCAATTTCCACTTTACCACCAGTTTAAAAGTAAAATGAGGAATTTAACCCATATCTGGATTGAATCATACTATGATTTTCCGTGGCTCTCTGTTTCATAAAAACACTCCTCACTGACAACAGATGTTAAACTCTGGACACTGAATTCTCGCTCTAGAACAGAATTTAGGTCGATGGTGGCATTTTCAGACTGACTGTCAAGGGACTGGTGACGGATCTGCGCCTTGAGCAAAGTTCCTCTGTCCCTCTTGGTGCTGTTGGCTTTTCGTTTAATGGGGCAGAAGTGCCCCCGGACCAGTTTGGGCTGCTCTCCTCCTTTCTGACCCTCACCCGACTCCGGGCCAGGCTGCTGCTCAGCCTCGGGGTGAACGTCTGGGTCCTCGGAAATCCTCAGTCTCTGGAACTGAATTTCGATGTCTTTAGTAGGGCTGCCCTGCTTCACAGTCTGACGGTGGTCATCATCTTCATCGCTCAGGATGTCACTCTCTTTGATGAGATTGTCGGCAAAATCTGCCAAGCCGGGGTGTGGGTATTTCCCGGGAGAAGTGCTCTTGGAGTCCTGCCTGCCCTCAGCCGTGGGGCAGCCGCTGCTCTGGGTGCCGCTGCTCAAGCTGCCCTCGTCAGAGTCCAGCAAGGTTCCCTTGCCAGTCTCACCGGTCCACTCGTTGCTGGAGGAATTCTTCAGGACTTTTAAAGACCTGGATGAAGCTACAGTGAGAAAAACACATTTCGCTGTGATACAGAAACAGGTTACACAATGTGTAATGTTTGCCTCAAAGCTTGTGTAAGATTTAACATTAAGATTTTATTTTATGATATGACTTCAGTTAGCAACTATCCTGGTAATTAGGCAAAAATGTAGCTACTGAAAACATGGACATTTTTGACTTAGGTTTACAGTTGTAAGTTAGGCAATTCAGCATTTTTAGATTACCAGAGCTCAATTATGTAAATAGAACTAGACACTAGAAACTACTACATGGGCTAAGATTCTTATTTTGCCAAGGAGTAAGTTGAAAAGTTAATTGGTAATAATAAATCTAGGCTCCTTTCTTTCACTAAGGTGCTTTGTAATTTGATCATGAAGATCACACCATATTCCTATGCATCTTCTCACCTTGTGGATTTCCCTTGCTGCTCAATTAAAAGTAGAAAATGCCCCTCCCCCCCCCTTTTTTTTTAAAGACAGTGTCTTGCTCTGCCACCCAGGCTGGAGTGCAGTGGTGTGATCTCTGCTCACTGCAACCTCCGCCTCCTGGGCTCAAGTGATCCTCCCATCTCAGCCTCCTGAGTAGTTGGGACTATAGGTGCGCATGATCACGCCTGGCTAATTTTTATATTTTTTTTGTAGAGATGGGGTTTTGCCATGTTGCCCAGGTTGGTCTCAAACTCCTGTTCTCAAGAGCTCAAGGGATCCACCTGCCTTGGCCTCCCAAAGTGCTGGGATTACAGGCATGAGCCACCATGCCCAGCCTAGAAAATGCTCTTTATCTCTCATATGAGAACTGTCTCTGCTGGAATTTCAAAACAACTTTCTGAAATTTTATGTTATAGGTGTGTGTGTGTGTGTGTGTAGTTCTGTTCTCTTGGATTGAAAGAAGGAAGGGAGTTCTCAGTTTTGGTGTTTCTACAAAGTAATAACAGCATGTTATTTTGATGGCCAGTTTATTTTGACAATGGAGAAAATAGTAAATATGTGGTAGATCTGAAGAGGTCACACTGATTTGACATGAAAAAGCGAAGTTTTACATTTTCTAAGCCTAAAAACAAGAAAGATAATAACAAAATAGTTAATGTAGAAATAAGGTTCTGAAAACTTAAGCTGAAATTTTAGAAACAAGCAGAAAGAACAACGTGATTTGAAATGCTTACTTGGTGCCCTATCGATTAAGAACGAGTATAAGAGGCCCCTTAACTTAGATGGCATTACATCCCAATCAACCCATTGTTAAGTTGATAATATGGAAAGTCGAGAATGCATTTAATGTACCTACTAACCACTGCGGCTTAGCCTAGCCTGCCTTCAGTGTGCTCAGAACACTTACATTAGCCTATGGTTGGGCAGAACACAAGGCCTGTTTTATAATTAAGTGTTGAGTATCTCATGAAATGTATTGAATGCTGCACTAGAAGCAAAAAACAGAATGGTTGTCTGGGTACTCGAAGTACGATTTCTACTGAATGTGTGTCACTTTCACACCACGGTAAAGTCGAAAAATTGTAGGTTGAACCATCAGAAGGTGGAGACCCTCTGTGTAAGGTTCTTGATCTTCATTCAGCATTGACCTTCAGGATGCCTGGCACTGTTCTGAGCACTGGGAATACAGCAGTGAGGAAAACAAAGTCCCTGGACCCATGCACATCTTAGTGGAAGAAACAAAATCGTACATTTGGACTATGTCAGCGGGTAGGAAGACAAGGGACTGGGGGTTGGGGGTGGCTGTATTTTACAGTAGAACGTCTGGGAGCAAGAGGCATGTTTAGGTTTCTTAAAAGGAGATAAAGGTACCTCGATGACTTACAAAGTGAAAAGTCACAGCTATGTTACAAGAGCATATATCCTTTTCAGAAGCTCATAATATTTTGTTGAATAAACACAAGGCTAGCAAAATTCTCACCTAATTTGGCCGAAACAGGAACTCGGTTCTTAAGAGGTACCAGGCGATCCTTACACGTTTTCTCCAGTGGTAATTCACACTTTATGTGACGCCTGAAGTTCTCCCTCAGAATAGAACGAATCACCTTAACAATGTTGGTTTTGCTTTCACTGTCACTGGGTGGGGGGGGAGAGAAAACAGCAGAAGTGTCCACAGTGTTCATCGTGCTTCCATTCCACGCCCGCCTGTGTTCCTGTGCCTTGCACCTGCTGGACCAGGCTGCCAGCCAGCCACCCAGCAGCAGTGCCATGTGGCCTCCCGTACAGAAGGAGGTGAGAATTGATCACTCTTAAGATTTTGATATTTATTTAATCAACATAGTCTCCTACTAGCGGCCTCAGTTGCCTTTTTCGGAGGGTGGGGAGTATGACCCTGATATCATCAAAATTCAGGAGGGCACTAAATATAAATTCCCTTAAGAGACATAATTCTATGTTATTTCTGTTGGTTTTAATCTTTGGAAGTCAGTCATACCTGCAACACAACTGAAAGATGGTTTCTGGCCGTCCTTCTATTTCTGACTTCGTATGGATCAGTTCCCATATGGAATTATTTTCTGTCCCTATGTAAAAGGAAATGGAAACAAGAGTCTACAACTTTGCCCAAAATGCTGTGGTTAAGAACACTTGTAAAGTTGAAATCTCATCAGTTAAGAAAGTCTAATATTCCCAGTCCTGGCTCATTTTCTTCTGTGGCTTGTTCTATGTATGATTTTCACAGTTACAAGAACTGAAATGCCTTTTGGTTACTTTTTACATTTCCTGCTGCAGATTTTCCTCCATCTGAACTGCCTTCACCCTCTCTCTGGAGCCCCTCTCTGGGGAAGAGGAGATTCAGTGGATCCTATTCTTCAACCTCCTTTGCAGTTTTGCCCTTTCCTTGGAAGGAACAGGAGCTGGGGTACTTGAGGTAAAAGAGGCCTGCCCCAAATGTGGTCATTTTCTCGAAAACATAAGCACTTCTGACAAAAGTTAAACAGAAGCCCAGCAGGTCACTGCATGACTCAGCCTGCTGGCCTCTTCTGTCACCAGATACCTGTCACCAAAACAAGGTTACTCTGGAAGGATCTCTGAACATTTTCCAGAGTCAAAGATTTTTTTCTTTTTATATCACCTACAGTACTACCTAACCTTAAGGAATTTTCTGCTATATTCTAAATTTGTAAAAACATAAATTTGTGGATCTTTGTTCTTCTAACACATTTTAGGGTATCAAGGCAGAAAGGAAAATGTTGAAAACTATTGATAGGGAAAATAAGGAAACAATGAAAGGCATTTGGCAAAGAAAAAGCTATCCACCAGCATTTAGTTTCTCCCAGAAGTCTGCTAAGGAACATCAAAACAACCTCTCTTGTCCTCATTTTCCTTGTCTATAAAATAAAAGGCACCAAAAATTATCCCCAAGGTCCTTTCTTAATTTACATTCCACAGTTAAGTCTACTAAAATGCTTTTTCTGGCATCATACTGCACGAAACAGTTACCTGCTGGATTCCCCAGTCTGACTTGAAGCGCGGAGATGGGGATCAACCAGCGGAATTTAAATGGGTCCAAGTCAGTAGAGTTGTGTGCAGGCCGGGAATTCGAGGGCTGTAACATGAAGGCCCACCAAGAAAAGTGTTAGGGAAGCTGTCACTGAGGGAGGATGTGTGCACAGTGAATAGAAGTTTATGTTCTCCCTGTGGGCGAGTCTCCGAGCAGCCATGTGGGTGTTCAGGGCACAGAAGTCAATCAGCTACGCACCCAGTTCTCAAAGACCTCACATGCTAGGGAAGGTGCGGAGGCAGAGTTGTGGTTCAGAAGCAGTTACAGGTCTCAAAGCAAGAACAGCAGCCAAAGCTTCCACGCCCTGACGCTGCCTCTGAATGGTAAACCAATGGCATATGGTATCCACAGCTAGGCTTTGCTTTTTTCTGAGTGAAGGTAAAAGGCATTTGAAAATAAACCAAAGTTTCACAGACTATGTTTATGGAACAAACATGGGCCATTTTCAGGGATATAAAAGTCGATGTTCTATGTAGGCCCCCATATGAGTATTTATCTACTTTATTTACTTATTTATGTATTTATTGACAGGGTCTCACTCTGTCGCACAGGCTGGAATGCAGTGGCATGATCAAGGCTCACTGCAGCTTCCACCTCCTGGGCTCAATTGATCCTCCTGCCTCAGCCTCCCGAGTAGCTGGGACTACAGGCACGTGCTACCACACCCAGTTACTTGTATTTTTGGTAGAGGCAGGGTTTCACCATGTTGGCCAGGCTGGTCTCAAATTCCTGGGCTCAAGCCTCAGCCTCCCAAAGTGCTGAGATTACAGGCATGAGCCACCGTGCCCAGCTGTATATCTTCTTTTAAAACAGACATCTTTCATGGGGAGACTCAGAAACGCTCTCAGTATGTGATGGGGTTAGTTACCCTCAGAGTAAGCAGTATCAGTCAGCCCAGCCTTGGTGCTCAGTGGGCTTTTCAGTTCAACGTTAATAGGAAGATACAGCTATGAAAAGGTAGCTTAAATTAAAATGAATTTTTGCCTTACCAATTTCTTTTTCAGTTTGCAGTTTTCTTTATAAACCAGTATGACGGCTCTCTTAAAAACTAAAGAAAGGAAAAGAGAAAGAAAGTCTTTATTTTATGCAAACTCTTCCAAGGTTAAACTAGAGCTGAACGTCTTAACAGAGTAACACTCTCCAAACGTATGAGTCTCTAAGACCTCACTCTGCCAACATGAGTGAATAAATGGTACTTCCCTTTCGCTCATATTTGAACTATGCAGAAGCACCTGCTTATTTAAAAGCTACTATTAGAAGTTGATCTTGGCTTTTTTAAACTCTTTGTTTTATTGAAAGCTGAGGACACTGTGTTCATCTCAGTGACAATATACTGTCACTTGTTCTCCCAACTCTCAGAATTAAAACATTTGAAATACAGCAGACTATTAAGATAGCAGGTTTCTGGCCAGGCACGGTGGCTAATGCCTGTAATCCCAGCACTCCAGGAGGCTGAGGCAGGTGGATCACCTGAGGTCAGGAGTTCGAGACCAGTCTGGCCAGCATGGTGAAACCCCATCTCTACTAAAAATACAAAAATCAGCCGGGCGTGGTGGCGAGCACCTGTAATCCCAGCTACTCAGGAGGCTTAGGCAGGGGAATAGCTTGAACCTGGGAGGTGGAGGTTGCAGTGAGCAGAGATCACACCATTGCACTCCAGCCTGGGCAACAAGAGCAAAACCTCGTCTCAGAAAAAGAAAAAGAAAAAGATAGCAGGTTTCAAAATAGCCGCAGGGATCTGTTCCTGTAACACTTGGCCTGAGCCAAGCAGCAGAAGGGAGAACAAGATAATGAGGATGCAGAGCGATGCCGGAGTTTCAAATAGTTGGGGGCTGGCCCTGTTAAGTCCCCAACCATTATAGCAATTCTGACTCCTGGAGCTCAGGAGTGAGCTGGACTGGTGCGGCTAGTGAAGTTCTTCCGTAATCCCAGCCTCTGTTCAGTCTGCATTCTTCTGAATGGAATACTAACCAAATACTGTGAGCTCAAGGTCCTTTCTAGCTTTTCCTAGAGACAGAAATGGATTCAACCAGGAAACCGTAGAGTGCATCAGAAGCTCTCCCATCGAAAGTTCTGTTACCTAGATTGTAAAAACAGGAGGTAAGGAAGATACGGAAATCCCAGGCTAGATGATCTCTTGTTAGATAGTGATGTACACACAGTCATTGCTAAAATGCAAGCACAGCTGGTTTAATTTTTATGATACCTGTAAACATGGGGCCTTAAACGGTGGAGCTTTTGAAAATATGAGTTAAGCACCCAAGTGTCTGATGAATAACATAAAGGTGAAGGCATTTTGCTCCAGTGCACGCACATGTAGGTGAGACATGCCTTGTGACCAACTCAGTTTCCATAAGATGAACTCTACCAGTGTCCGTGGTTCTTCCAGAGTGCCTTTTGTAAGCTTTCCCCTGGGATCTAGTACATCCATCACCTCTGAGCTCCATTCGGGCTGCTGATAAAAGAGCACCAGCATTGAAACTGGCCAGAGTGAAGGACTGATCTCCAGTCCTTTCCTGTTCCTGCCATTTTCTCCCTAAACTATGCTACTTCCTGCATGCTGGCTTGAGAAGCACAAGATTCTAAATTAAGCAATCAGATAAAAAGGAAAAATACAGAAAATGTCAAATCCTGCTTGGACTAGTTTTATAAGTAAGCAGGTAACCACCAATATTTGATGTTAAAAAAAAAAAAAAAAAAAGGCAAAATCAAAAAGGAAAAGCCCCAGACTCCACATGCCAGTTCCCATGTCCTTTCTCCACCCCACCCTCTGCCAGCTCTCACCCTCCATGGATGTTCCAGACAATGTGAACGTGACATAAGGTTATATTTTAAACCAGTGTAATGAATTTTATGATATGTCTATATGTAAATTGTGTAGTTCATTAGACACATTGTTATCAAGAAAAATCTTAGGCATTTTCTCCTCCAGGAAAGTCCTAACAGGGCAGCCTATCTAGAAGGTCACCTACAGACCCCACACCACATGCACTAGGCTCCCAGGGTGCAGATGTCTCACGGACCTCCTTCTCTGTTCCGCTCTGCTCAGCTACTAGCTGGTCAAACACGGTCCCATAATCCTCATAGATCTTCTGCATCTCATTGATGTGGCTCGCTACTTTCTCCATTGCCTTTAGTGCTTCTGCAAGATATGAAATCATATTTATTTCATAACTGTTATTTGTTTTAGATTCTATCCAACAGTAATAATGAATGGAGTCAAGATTCAACTCAGGATTCCAGACCAGTACCCACTAGCAGGAGCATTACATTCAGAATAAGTCACAACAGCCCACTGTAGCCCAGCCCTTAGAATGAAGAACAGCAAAATTATCTCCTACTTCAAATTCTTTTTGAAATGAGACAGAGTATCAGTGAAAAGTATCACTAATAACAACAACTGACATTTCTGGAGCACTTTCTACTTAGCAAGGATCACGACAGGTGATTTCTGTGAATCATCTCATTTAGTGCCCGCAATAACTCAAAGACTAAACCATCCCATTTTACAGATGAGAAAAGTGAGTGCAGGATATTCTGCCAGAGTTCCAGAGAGGAAAACACAAGAATGGAGCCAGGCTTCAAACCCAAGCCTGACTGGGCTTAGGGCACCAGCTCTCGAGTTTGGCTTGCCCTTCTGGGAACCCGGATCTAGGTTTAAATGGAACTTAAAAACACCCCAGTACATGACTGACTGACAGAACAATTGTTTGCATTTATATATGGTATATGTTCATAACTTTCCGCGAGGGAATATGAGAGATACATTATTTTATAAAAGCCAAAAAGCAAAATTTTAGGTCACTTCTAAATTCAGTATTCTTTATACTTTTTTTTCTCCCAATTCAGCATTTTAATTCTAACTGGAGGGAAGTTTGGAAGGAAGTTTTTTAAATCAAACCCTTCTAAAGATCATCTTAATACAAAATGAAGTTTTTACATAGTATGAATGCTGAACATAATTTGTATTATTTACTTATAGAAGTTAACTGTCATACAAAAATGCTTTCCTCTTGTTGATTTTGATACCAAAGTATGCTTGTCATGGAAAAAAAGCCAGTTTAATTTACGCTCTTCTCAGTATTTATTATTCAGTAATACTAAAGTGTTAATAAGCCTCTCTCTCCCCATAAATTTTATCACCTATGGTTTAATTGGACCTCCTAGTTTCAACA
Source organism: Homo sapiens (assembly GCF_000001405.40). Lineage (NCBI taxonomy): Eukaryota > Metazoa > Chordata > Mammalia > Primates > Hominidae > Homo > Homo sapiens. The sequence goes on along the minus strand of NC_000006.12, from coordinate 155,248,817 downwards.
TATGAACAAATCACTATCTCCAACCCAAATAAAGCCCCTCTTTAAGGATCCTCTATTTACTATCAAACTGCAAGGCTTTGTGTTTTTGATAAATTGTGTCTCAGGCCAGTAATTTCAGAGGTTCAAACAGTAACACACCAGTAGCGACTTGAAAGCATAACCCATCATTGGGAGTTTGGTTTTGAAGCCGAGCTCTGCTCAGAGATCTCCACAAGGTGGAGCCTCACCCAACAAATCTGACCAGCAGCTCGGGCAGCGAACCCCACAAAACTTAACCAAGTGGTAGGAAAATAGGCCTGATTTTCAGTTCCAGCGGCACTGTTTCACAGCCACGTGACCTGAGGTAATTTACTTATTTTGAGAGTGAAGACAGAATCATCCCTGCATAGGAGGAGTATGGCGCTACCCGGATGAGATCATTTCTACCCAAGTATTTTGTAAGCTCTAAAGGAGTGCCCAGACGCCTAGCTAGTTTCACATATTCACGTGAAACCTAAGATTAACCATCGCAGAACTGAAAAGTGACTTAGGACGTGCCACTAGGCGGGGAAGAGGTGAGCTGTCAGGCCCAGGGCACGGCTGGCAGCCCCTCGCCGCCCTGTGCAGGCCCTCGCCCGGAGGTGCCGCCGCCGCCTCACCCGTCAGGTGGTAGTGCTCCTCGCTCTCCTGGTCCGTCAGGGACACCAGCTCCTTGAGCAGCAGCGGGTACTTGAGCACTCTCTGAACCGGCTTGATGAGGTAGGACTCCAGCGTGGAGGAATGCTGCTTGGTGGGGTTCCGGGCGTCCAGAAAAGCCTTGAAGGCTTTGTCAGTTTTAGCTACAAGCAGATGGATAAAAGACCTCAGAAGAGCACAGTGGGGTGAATTAAATTCTTCATTTCTCTTTTAACATTTATAGATCATCTATTTCTATAGTCCTCCTAATGCCATTCTTTAATGAAAACCCCAACACATCAGTGGGTCAGGCACCCAGCTGTCAGCGTGGGATTCCGCCTCACAGCCCTGACAGAGCCCTGGAGTGCTGGGAGCTTCCGAGGATGGAATGCAGGCTGCGCCCCAAAGACTAACACTGACTCAAAATGCAGGAATGTCTGACTTTAAAGACACATTTCATGCATACCCATGAGAAATATTGTTATAGGTGGCCTAAAAAGTGAGTTTCAAACAATTCATTAAAAGCCATGAAGCGTGGCCAGGTGCGGTGGCTCACGCCCGTAATCCCAGCACTTTGGGAGGCTGAGGCGGGCAGATCACCTGAGGTCACGAGTTCGAGACCAGCCTGGCCAACATGGTGAAACCCGTCTCTACTAAAAATACAAAAATTCGCCGGGCGTGGTGGTGGGCGCCTCTAATCCCAGCTACTCAGGAGGCTGAGGGAGGAGAATCACCTGAACTCCTGAGGTGGAGGGTGCAGTGAGCCAAGATCGCGCCACTGCACTCCAGCCTAGGCAACAAAGTGAGACTCCATCTCAAAAAAAACAACATCAAAAAAGCCATTAAGCAATGTTATCCAGACCCTACACCATACCCACAAAAATTTCATAAAGGAAAATAAACCAGTGTTTTTCCCACTGGCCTCACTCTAGTTGTTGCTTATTTGTATTCTGTACACTTAAGGGTTATCTGGAAAGCAGTGTCTTTTCTCCTGTAAAGTAAGGTGACAGGCACCACAGCCTGCAGCCTACAGCCTTCACTCCACAGCTCCAAGCAGATTCACCTTTCGCATACCTAGAGCCACAGCTCCCTTCCAACAGGCATGGCAGTAGGACCCTCTCTGGCAGTGAAAACTGCCCCTTTGTCTGAGTGCCATGAAGGGTGTGTGTAGGAATCCAGGTGCATTTGGTTTGGGTACCAGCGGATACACCAGTGCTACTTGGATTCCACCAGTTGGCACTGGATGCCCAGTTGCTTGGAATGCAGCTACTCTGAAGGAAGATACACCCTTATTTGGGATTGTGTTGTAAGATCAAAATCTACAACATTCTAGGAGATGCAATACCATTTTGAATGTGATTACCAGGCCAAGTAGGTGGTGACAGGACCCCTCTTCTTTATGACAAAGGAGGAATGGAGCAAGCCATTGGTATGCTTTCACTGTACTGCACTGACTGTCAATATGTATTGACAAGTACATTGGTATGCTTTCACTGTACTACAGACTGTCAATACAAAGGTGCTTGTGGGCCAGGCGTGGTGGCTCATGCCTATAATCCCAGCACTTTGGGAGGCCTAGATAGGAGGATCACTTGAGGCCAGGAGCTTGAGACCAGCCTGGGCAACACAGTGAGACCCATTTCTACGAACATTTTTACATTTTTAAAATTAATTAATTAAATTTAATTAAAAAGAGGGTGTTTGTGGGAGGAAATGGCAACAGAGTTCAGCAACTGTCTAAAGCAACTGGAGAAGATGGATTTGGGCTGGGTCTTGCTCATTTGAAGCACTCTAAGACCCCACTTTTTAAATGTGGGGCTTTTCTTCTGGGATATCATGACGTTCTGGATTAAAATCCAATGGCAGAGCTGCATCCGTGGACATGAATGAGCACTAAGGGCGTCAGGATAAACCTCCAGATGCCCTCCAGGCCCACGCAGAGAGAAACACCGAAGAGCAACCTTTGGGAAATGTGAGCTCTTTCCAGTTGCACCAGAGAGACTTTACTTTCAGCTGACACACTTCTTGTGAGTTTCGTGGTAGGCTGTTGTGGCTCCTCAGGCTTAAGAAGATTAACAAGGAAAAAAAAAAAAACACCATAGCATGCATTTCTTTCTACTCCCATCTAGGGTTTGGGGTTGCAAGTTTTTAGAGAAAGGAATTTGGCAAGAAAAGAATCCAGATGTAACTGACAGCAAAGTGACACATGGCAAAGCAACATCTCTGCTCTTAGGCATACTTGTTCCCAGCTACTAATTAACTGACAGAAACAGAAACCTTTCCCTTTAATATTTGCCACTGTCAAGGTCAAGGATGGACCTTAATACATCAAAATTGTACTTACTCTCTACTTGTTAAATACAGATTTACCCTTTACTAACAGTTAAAAATGCAAAAAAAAAAAAAAACTATAAAAGGCATAAGCAACTTACCTCGCTCCAGAACCTTCTGTACTTTGATATGGTTAGCACAGAATCCACTGTACAGTTTAAAGTGGTCCGCGTAATAAAGGAAAGAGCCTCCAAGGGAAAACAGTAATTTCTAGAAGGGCAGAGGGGAAAGTCAAATCAGACATGGTTTAATCAATGCGTGCTGGCTTATGGCATTTGACGGCCCCATGGCTTCTGTCAGATTCCATAGCACTAATGCCTTGGAGAAGTTCAAACCTGCTCCATCCACACAGGAGGTGGGGAACAGCCCAGGCGCTCCCCTGGCAGGTATCTAGCTTGACTGCAAAGTTTCCAGCGGCAGAGCCTACTGACAGTGTGCAATCCAAGGACAAGAAACAAAGAAAGTTCTACAAAAATACAGCTGACAAGGTGGGATATAAACAATCTGAGAGAGGTTCACTAATAAAGCCGACTCTGCATTGCTTGGGGAGAGTGATGCTGTCTGTATGGTTCCAGGTCCCCTTGGAGGGGCTTCCTGCCACACTGCGGCTTACACGGATGCTATGGAGCACTGGTGCTTCATAGAAGAGAGGGCTTGAGCCCAGCAATTAGAAACCTATTCTCTTAATCCCAGATCCACATGACCACGGGGAAGAAGGATTGGGCACAGGGTAGGAGCTCTGGTTTCAGAAGCAACCACCTTGGATATCCTTCACAGCAGCTGAGAAAAGAGCACGTACGTGGTCAACAACCAGGCGGGAGGTGCTGCTGGACTTCTGACTACCAAAAGCACCTGCGCCAGGAAAAAAAAATATATACAGCCTTCCTTTACCACCTGACAGAGGAAAACGGTGCAAGGAAATAGTCACAGGACAATAAATAGTCAATAGTCACAGGACAAGAAATTCTTTCTCATGAGAGAATTCTCATGAGAGAAATACGTACCATAGCCACGTATTTTTACTTTAAGCCTAAATCTGAGATACTTACTCTAAACTGTGAGGGGGTTTCTAGGGTGTTAAAGTCAGATGATGCTGAAATCCCATCCTCCAGGGTCTCCAGAAACACCTTCTGAAACTCAAGCATCTCTGGCAAACTTCCAAAAAGTGACTCCATCTATGTGAAGATCAGGATTTGAAATGAGGGGATTAGCCATGAAGTTCAGGACACCACGCTAACTCTTAGGCCCACAAATAAATCACAAGGAAATTCTTCACGGAAAAGCAGACAGAAAGTAAATCCTTTAAGAAGACAGCACATTCATTATGGGATATGGCTTATACATAGAAAGTTTCACAGCTCCATCCCCCATAATTCTCTATTACTACAGTAAATTTTTAAGTGGATGTAAAATTCTCAGAATTCAAATTAAGAAAAATGTAAGTCAGTAGAACTAATTATGTGGTTTCACATTACAAAGGTATGTATTGAAAAGGAATTTCTGATCACACTCTCTTCTACCTCAAAAAGACCATAACCGTCCCTCTGCCTTTGTAAACACTCTGCCACTGGGTCATGCAGCCGAGGCCACAGCAGTGGTTTAGGAGGAGGCTATGCCTGGGACTCTCAGAAGACCGTTAAGTCTTGGGATGTTCTTTTGGGATCAACAGAGATACTCTCATAGGAGTTCTGCTAAAAGGCAAACAGAGACTAACCTGTGGATCACTGGACAGAAGGAAGGTGATTTTATTTACCTCATCTTGGGTAAGAAAGGTCTCATTCTGAAGTGGCTCCAAGTATAATTCAAAGAGGCAGCTCAAATCCTGAAAGAAAATAGAAGAAAGTGTCTTCAACGCTTTAGTCTCCAAAATACCCATGAGATTTGGGTAGCAGCAACCTGGCAGCAGCTCCCAAGGCTCCCATCAGGATAATGAAGTTTATGCCTTGTTGAAATTCTTTTTTTTTTTTTTTTTTTTTTTTTTTTTTTGAGACGGAGTCTTGCTCTGTCACCCAGGCTGGAGTGCAGTGGCATGATCTCAGCTCACTGCAACCTCTGCCTCCTGGGTTCAAGAGATTCCCCTGCCTCAGCCTCCCACATAGCTGGGACTACAGGTGTGCTCCACCACACTCAGCTAATTTTTGTATTTTTAGTAGGGGCAGGGTTTCACCATGTTGGTCAGGCTGGTCTCGAACTCCTGACCTCAGGTGATCCTCCTGCCTTGGCCTCCCAAAGTGCTAGCATTACAGGCGTGAGCCACCACACCCAGCCTTTGTTGAAATTCCTGACCCCAAAAGTAGTGATTATTGCTCACCTAATTCAAAGAGTTTAATATCACAATACAGGCAACAGCTGGATTCCACACCTTTACAGCTCGATCATTCCCTCTGCTTAGGTAAGTGTCTTGGTGACAGAAACACCCTTTCTTCAGGCCACTGCAGCAGGGGCACTCACTTCCCTGCAGAGGAAGGGCGTCTGGGTGGCACTGGTGTCAGGTGCACCCCAGCTCCTGGCCTCTTCTGCCTCAGGGAGCACAGTGAGAGGTCCAGCATGGAGCTGGGAGGGTCAAGTTCTGGGGAGCCCTTCAACTTTGGGGTTGACTGATTCACAGAATCTCAAACTCACATATTCAAAGGCAATAAAAAACTCCCACAGAGCTGCAGCTCTAATGGCTAAACTCTAAGCCATATTTGGCTGTCTTGCAAACGAGGTTCCAGCAGGACAGTATAGTGGGAGTAGACTGCAGTTACAAAACCCATGAGCGAAAGATTTTGTTTAATAATTTGAAGCCAAAGCCAGGCATGGTGTCTCATGCCTGTAATCCCAGCACTTTGGGAGGCAGAGGCGGGTGGATCACCTGAGGTCAGGAGTTCAAGACCAGCCAAGCCAACATGGTGAAACCCTGTTTCTACTAAAAAAAAGAAAAAAAAAAAATAGCTGGGTGTGGTGGCGGGTGCCTGTAGTCCCAGCTACTCAGGAAGCTGAGGCAGGAGAATCTCTTGAACTCAGGAGGTGGAGGTTGCAGTGAGCCAAGATCATGCCACTGCACTCCAGCCTGGGTGACAGAGCGAGACTCCATCTCCAAAATAATAATAATAATAATTTGAAGGCAAGACCAGGATATAGTTCAGTGATAGAAAAGATTTCTCTTTTATTCTGAAGAATTTTGAGTCCTAAAATACTAGAAGCAGTTGACTGCAAAGTCAGCTATAATAACTCCCTCACTTCCCAAGAGGGGAACCTAAGACCCAGAGCTTTATAAAGCCCAAAGCATCCCCAGAACTTTCTGGCCTTAGTTCAGAGAGCAAAAGGCAAGGCCTGTGACACGGATGCTTTCACCATAAAAACCTCCCTGGCCTTCCCTCACCATATTCCACGCCAGACCGCTCAGAGAAGGGAGATGATGGAAGTTACTGAATCATATCTCAGGGAACACATAGATGTCAAAAATTTCAAGGAGCATGCAGGGGATCCAGGTTAAAAAACAACAAGATTCTGTGTTAAACGTCAGCAACAAAAAAGAAATGAAGAAACGGTGGTGTGTGTGTGAATCACAACAGGTGCCAAGTGTGGGTTATTTTGTCCGAGGGTGTTGGGGCCTGGCAGTCATGCCTCACAGGCTGGTGCTGCCTGGGAGGACTTCCTGGACAGCAAAATCAGGTCCGCGCAGAGCTGCGGGGGGCAAAGGGCTGCAACCCAGGGGGGCCCTAAGAAAACAAAGTGCAGGTTTCTTGCAGAGAGAAGGGAGAGTCGGTCCTTGTCTACTTCACCCATGACACCATCTGAGTACTCTGCCAGCCTGTCACTGAAATGACCCTCCCAGTACAGCGTGGCCTAACAGGAAATTCTAACAACACTATTACCAAAAAGGGACATCGATTCTCCTCTCAACTCTGCCCTTAACTCTTGGGGCAAGAGCTCCATGACTATTCTCAAGATGTCAGAAGGGCTCTGAAGCTTCCAAAATATCTACAGCGCCACACAGCGACTTGGAAAAAGGTGACTGTGGAGATGGGATTATTCAGAACTTGAGTCTGAACAGCCTGGCTGTTCACTTCATCTCCACACCCTGGATGCAGGACAAGACATAATGGAAAATGAAACTAAACTGTCATCTCTCCTAACTTTCCTTTCTCCCCTCTGAGGCCAAAAGAAGGGGCTTTGGGAAGCTACCTGTGAATAGGGCCTTAGGTGAAGTCCTGGTAAAACAGCGACATCAACAAAAGGGGGAAGCTCAGATCTGTCTTGCAGAGCAAGGTAATAGCCGCACGTGTGTGCCAAGCCTTAATTCATGGACCCAGCACGTCAGAGTTGGAAGACATTTAGAGAAGGGGGACCGAGTGTCTCAGACCCCAAATAAGGGAGTTGAAGGGGGCCATCCACCATACAGCCAGAGGGAGGCAAAGCCGGGCCTGGACCCTCAGCCCACCGCACCGTGCCGCGCTGCTTCAGTAACTGACAAATGAAGCGAGCTTCAAATGGTACCAAAGCTCCAGGAAACAAAGCAAAAGAACTCTGCTCCCCAGGCTCCAGTATTCTTCATAAAATCTTTCTCAAACCACTGACTGGGGGCTTATGAGATGGATAAATGAATTCTTCGGGTACTCAAGATACTCGGCAACTGCCCCTTCATAATGGTGCAAGGATATTCCCACGTGCTGACCACTCCCCAGTGTGTGCGTCCCAGTTCTACACGATGACAACCACCAGGCAGGGCTGGCCCGGGCCACCGCCAAGACTGTGGGGCCTGGATCAGCCGTCACGTATGTACAGATTGTTCCCAAGTTCCTCATCACCTAAAGTGATCTCTCTCCCCTTATACTAAACCAGTACAGACTCCCTTCCCACAGATTGCAAATGACAAACCAGAACATCTGTTTCCATAGTGAAAGCTACCTTGGTAACAAAATAAGCCAAGGATCTAATTTTTTTCTGAGTCTCCTCAGCTCTTCCACCCTCTCACTCTTCCCCTCCCTTCCTTGAGCAATTCACTGATTCAAGGAGCAGGTGTCCCCCCCTGGGGAGTGGCAGGTGTCCTGGGCAGAGGTGATCTGGGGACCTCTGCCAGCATACCACTTGCCATCATCAAAGAGGCACGAATGCATAAATGCCAGCTCTTCCCTTACCTTCACGTAGGACTTCTCTGTGTCCACAAGCTCCTGGATGACTTTGCGGAGGCGGTCTGCATCAGACAGGTGGCGGGCCAGAGACCTCGGAGGAGGATCCTGATTCTCCCGCGGTCCTTCCATGCCGTTGGCCTGACTGTCGTTAAAACTCCTGCACAGTGCAGTGATCTGCTCAGCACTCTGAGAGAGGACAAGAGGTGGAAAATAATGCACGGGCCTCTCCCTGATAGTATCCGCTGCCCCCAAGGGCACCAAGTGTCTCCGTCTGTGCTCAGCAGGGATCTCAGAGGGGCCTCTGTGTAGGGCAAAGGGTTTCATTCACCTCAAACCCCTCTGGCTATCATTTCGGATCTGAGTAAGGAAGATGTGCGCCCACACTCATGTTCAGTGTTTACACACGAGGCTCTCCATTGTCACATCAGCTGTTAGATGTATCTTTGGACCTGAAATTACAGAGTCATTGCCTAGGGCTAACCCTCTGCAGTCAAGGTGAGGTAGCTCTGAAATCAAGAAGTTATGGCTTTCTAGGGAGCAACAAGAGCAGATGGCCTCAACAGGCCCACCCAGTCCCCTCAATGGTTGGCCTAATCCAGTTTTCCATCTCCCACACAGAACAGCCCGGAGAGACTCAAGAGAGGCACAGCCCAAGAGCAATTACAGGACGACCTGGCCACAGTGGGCCAGGAGTTCTGCCCTCCAGTCTAACCGCTCAGCTCCACAGTCTTGTGGCAAGTAGAATTATGAGTGAGAAACTCTTGAGCTGGTGCACATGCTAGTAATGGAGTAGAAGCAGATGAAGATGGTAACACCCTCACCCTAAAGGGGTGCAGAGCCCTGCAGAGCGCACAGGCAGGGAGCAGAGGACACATAAGGCCTGGCGAGGATGAGAGGCCAGGGATCAACCAGCCCCAGAGGAAACCTCTGCGAGGAGGGAGCTAAGCTGGTCTTAGCAGGGAGCCAGGGCCAGGCCTAGGGAATGTGGGCTCAGAGGAAATACTCGCTCCCAGTCATGGGAAAGGAATCACATAGATGAAGAGACAAGAAGGAACATGACCATCTGGGGGGACCACTGGCCTTTGGCACAAGCTCCTATTCAGACAGAAGCACCATGTGCTTCCGCCTTCTCAAAGACAGCCTATCTGTATCCACCAGACTTTGGCTGGAAAGCCTCACAGGTGAAACGCTTCCACAGTTGCTGGAGCAGGGTCAGATTACAAAGTGTCCTTTTACTTCTCATTCTTTCCATTCCACCCTCACATCTCCACCCCACTTCACCACCTCCCCATCTGGAAGCCCAGTGAGGGCAGGGTGGCTTCTTTCTTTCACATCTCCGCCAGCAGCCAGCTCACTGGCCAGCACAGGAGGTACTCGGCCCACCTCTGCTGCACTGAAATTCTTACTGAACAACGCAGCTGAGTCCCAACACAAATGACTGGCATCCATTAACAGCCAGCAACTTTCTGACTGTCAACTAAAAAACTCTCCTTTTTTCAGCTTAAATGCCTTCATGCCTGACCTCTATCCATCTCTGTCTTGGGTAAGAAGCTGAACTTCTCAGGAGCATCTCTTAATATTCACATAATTCATTTTCTTTCCTTGGATATTGCAGAAAGCTTACACAAGCATGTTGGTCAAACTTGGTAGCCTGATGCATGCTTTTTATACAGTCTGTCTCTTGACAAACTGAAGCACCCCAAAATAAAAAGAGGCCACTCTCAACTGCCCTCTCTGTTCTATGCCCCAACCCCCACCAACACAGTGTTGTCATATGATGGAAATATACAATCCACATTAAAACTCAACATTGATCTCTGGCTAGTCTTTCAGTTCAATTCAGTGGTCATCAATTGAGGGCCTGCTTTTCTCCAAAGAAGTAGAAACAGTTCCTACACAAAGAGGTAAGACTCACCAAGGCTGGAAACCCCAAAGCATAGCCTAAGGCAATCTGGAATCAACAAAGACTTCTGTGGAACAAATGAAGAGTTATAATAAACATTAAATGAATAGAGGCAGCATTTTAGAATCGGTTGTCCAGGAAGGCTTCGGTGAAAGGGTTGTAACATGTCCTGGAGGGAGCCTGCTCCAAGGGAGAACCAGAGAATGTGCCAAAGGTGCAGTGGGAAAAGGAGCCCAGTAACGTTCCAGGCCTACCTCAAGGGGCAAGTAAGGGTGAGACCCTAACAGATGTCTGCCATGGGAACTCCCAGATGGCTGAGCTCCTTCAGTAGAATCGCTTCTCTTTTGAGTCGGGGGCACTGCTGAAAACATAACTGAAAACGTGGAGGCAACTTCAGAGCTGGGTAACAGGCAGAGGTTGGAACAGTTTGGAGGGCTCAGAAGAAGACAGGAAAGTGTGGAAAAGTTTGGAACTTCCTAGAGACTTGTTGAATGGGTTTGACAAAGATGCTGATAGTGAAATGAATAATAAGGTCCAGGCTGAGGTGGTCTCAGATGGAGATGAGGAACTTGTTGGGAACTGGAGCAAAGCTGACCCTTGTTATGTTTTAGCCAACAGCTTGGCGGCATTTTGCCCCTGCCCTAGAGATCTGTGGAACTTTGAACTTGAGAGATGATTTAAGGTATCTGGGAGAAGAAATTTCTAAACAGCAAAGCATTCAAGATGTGACTTGAGTGCTGGTAAAGGCATTCAGCCTTATAGAGGAGGCAGAGCATAAAACTTTGGAAAATTTGTAGCCTGACAATGCAATAGCAAAGAAAATCCCATTTTCTGAAGAGAAATCTAAGCTGGCTGCAGACATTTGCATAAGTAAAGAGGGACTGAATGTTAATCCCCAAGACAATGATGAAAATGTCTCCAGGGCATGTCAGAGGTCTTGGCAGCCCTTCCCATCACAGGCCTGGAGGCCTAGGAGGAAAAAGTGGTTTCCTGGGCCAAGCCCAGGGTCCCCATGCTGTGTTCCGCCCAGGGAATTGGTGCCCTGAGTCCCAGCCACTCCAACCATGGCTGAAAGGAGCCAACACAGAGCTTGAGCCATGGCTTCAGAGGGTGCAAGTCTCAAGCCTTGACAGCTTCCATGTGGTGTTGAGCCTGCCAGTGCACATAAGTCCAAGAATTGGGGTTTCAGAACCTCCACCTAGATTTCAGAGAATGTATGGAAATGCCTGGATGTCCAGGCAGAAGTTTGCTGCAGGGGCAGGGCTCTCATGGAGAACCTCCACTAGGGCAGTGCAGAAGGGAAATGTGGGGTTGGAGCCCCACACAGAGTCCCTACTGGGGCACCGCCTAGTGGAGTTGTGAGAAGAGGGCCACCATCCTCCAGAGCCCAGATCCACTGACATCTTGCACCCTGTGCCTGGCAAAGCTGTAGATACTCAACACCAGCCTGTGAAGGCAGCCAGGAGGGAGGCTATATCCTTTAAAGCCACAGGGACAGAGCTACCCAAGACCATGAGAACCCACCTCTTGCATCAGTGTGACCTGGATGTGAGACATGGAGTCAAAGGAGATCATTTTGGAGCTTTAAGATTTCACTGTCCTGCTGGATTTCGGAATTGCATGGGGCCTGGAGCCCCTTTATTTTGGCCAATTTCTCCCATTTGGAATGGCTGTATTTACCCAATGCCTGTACCCCCATTGTATCTAGAAAGTAACTAACTTGCTTTTGATTTTACAGGCTCATAGGTGGAAGGGACTTGCCTTCTCTGGGATGAGATTTTAGACTGTAGACCTTTCAGTTAATGCTGAAATGAGTTGAGACTTTGGGGGACTGTTGGGAAGGCATGATTGGTTTTCAAATGTGAAGATATGAGATTTGGGAGGGGCCAGGGCAAAATGGTATGGTTTGGCTCTGTGTCCCCACCTAAATCCCATCTTGTAGCTCCCATAAATAATTCTCATGTATTGTGGGAGGGGCCCAGTGGGAGATGATTGAATCATGGGGGTGGGCCTTTCCCATGCTGTTCTTGTAATAGTGAATAGATCTCACAAGATCTGATGATTTTAAAAACAGGAGTTTCTCTGCACAAGCTCTCTTTGCCTGCTGCCATCCACGTAAGATATGACTTGCTCTTTTATTTTATTTTTTTGAGACAGAGTCTTGCTCTGTCACCCAGGCTGGAGTGCAGTGGCACGATCTCAGCTCACTGCAACCTCTGCCTCCCGGGTGCAAGCAATTCTCCTGCCTCAGCCTCCCAAGTAGCTGGGATTACAAGTGCCCACCACCACACCTGGCTAATTTTTGTATTTTTAGTAGAGATGGGGTTTTGCCATGTTGGCCAGGCTGGTCTTAAACTCCTGACCTCAGGTGATCTGCCCACCTCAGCCTCCCAAAGTGCTGGGATTACAGGCATGAGCCACCATGCCTGGCTGTCATGGGTGTTTCTTAAAAAAACTCCCCCAGGTGTTGCTAATGTGTGGCCTGCATGAGAACTGCTGGTCTACTCTTCATACAGCTCGCGTTCTGCTTGGATTTCTGGGAGTGGTGCTGGCTCCAGTGGGATCACCTGTCCCAGGGTCCCCACTGAGGTATGTGGACAGAGCTCACGGGCTACAGGAAATTGACGGAATCACAGCCATGACTCTGGTGTTCTGGTTGTGGCCTCCTATGAAGTGAGCTAAAATGTTCACGATGATAATACTCGGACTCCAAGACTCACTGATTTGAAATCTCTGTACTGGGATTTGCACCACAAGCTCAGACAATATAATTCTGCAGTCCTGAAAACTAACAGTTCCCAGGGCTATAGAATCTATATTAAGCTTGAATATACTGTATAAAATAAGATCTGATAAAATACATCATAAGTTAAATGGCATCTGGTGAGATTATGGCTTTGCTTCACTGGGATGTCAAAAATCACACCTAACAATGCAGTGTTAAAGTAACGAGATCTTACAAATAAAGTATCTTGCCATTTTAGAAAAACAGAATTCACTTTATGAACTTTTCTGGTAAGATTAACTCCCAAAAAGTGAATGTTAGCTGAGATTTTTCATAGCAGATTTACTTCTTAAAGTACCACAATTAAGTGTTCAAGTGCTAGAAAGCCACCTTTTGTACACTTAACATTTTAGCTGTTGTCTAAGGGAGTTGGTGAGGATTACTTGGGACCAAAAGGAGGCAGGGCCCCCAAAAGGAGAAGAGTAATTATAAGTGTGTCTTTTCAGATTGTAGCTGAAGGAGTCACTTGGGTGATTACATTTCAGTTCACCCACTGTTCGTGATGTTTACAAACATTAGAGGGACATTCTGGGTGAACCTGATCAGCACTTTATAGGAATAGTGATTATCTGGGCTGGGATATCTTCACATGCATATATGGTGATAGGCCTGAAAAGCACAGATGAGAGTCAGAAGGCCTGGGCTGCAGTCCAGGCTCAACCCCCAGCCTTCTGTGCACTCCTGGGCAAGTCTCGATTCTAAGTCTTCAGTGTCCTTCCTGATGAAAAGGCAGCAGGAATGCCTATTCCATCAAGTAACTGCTAAAATTGCCGTTTGGGTCAAGAAGAAAAGGAAACTCGTGTTTGCCGAGCAGCTGCTGTGCACAAGGCACAGTTGGGAGGTTTCTCACAGAACATGCCAGCATTGCAGCTTTACCATGACTCTCCAGGGCTTTCCAGCTGAGGGGCAAGGAGGCTTCAGCGAGACCTTAAATGGCACAGGGCCCGTTCCCCTCTCTAGCTCTGCTCCATCTCTAGCTCTGTTCCCCTCTCTAGCTGTGCTCTGTCTCTAGCTGTGCTCCATCTCTAGCTGTGCTCCGTCTCTAGCTCTGTTCCCCTCTCTAGCTGTCCGCACAGCCCCTGCCACTCCCAGGTATTTAGCAGAGCACAGGCAAAGCAATCTAGTTCCTCACGCCTCCTGCTGCCTCTGCCTCCCATGTGGTCAGGGCTCTCCTGGCCCCAGGTGTTCTAGGGATGCAGCCACCTGCCTCTGGAGACCACCTCTGCTTAGAGAGGCAGAAACAGCTCATATGCAGACAACTGGGACATCTATTGAGCCTATTCCACCCCCACCCCAGGAATGCTGCTTTAAAAGCAAAAGACTGGTCTGGCACAGTGGCTCATGCCTGTAATCCCAACACTTTAGGAGAATGAGGCAGGTGGATCACTTGAGCCCAGGAGTTCAAGACCAGCCTGAACAACATAAGGGAAACCCATCGCTACAAAAGATAAAAAAAAATTAGCCGGCCATGGTGGCACACGCCTATGGTCCCAGCTACTCAGAAGGCTAAGTCAGGAGGATGGCTTGAGCCCAGGAGGTCAAGACTATCCTGGACAACATAGGGAAACCCATCTTTACAAAAGATAAAAAGATTAGCTGGCTGTGGTGGCACATGCCTGTGGTCCCAGCCACTAACGATGCTGAGGCAGGAGTTCAAGGTTACAGTGAGTTATGATGACACCACTGAGTGACAGAGTGAGGCTCTATCTCTAAAAGTAAATAAATAAAAGCAAAAGACAGATGATCATAACTTAGGGCTGGGAGTGTGAGGATTCAGTGGCCTAACAGGATGTGCATATGCAGAATAAAAAACACGGGCACTTGAAATGGGGGCCTCAGATTGGTTTTTTCCAGTTTGTAGCAATCAATGCTACAAACTTGGGTCCATCACAGGCCTCAGCTTTCATAAAAGAGCATGAAACCAATATTTTCTTTAAGAAGTCATAAAAAGATTAAATAAAAACATTTTTTCCAAAAATTATGCTATCTGGAAAAGCAATGATATTGAACCCCAACCCCCCCCCAAAAAAAATTTTCTCTCAAATTGTTTTTGTTTTGTTTTTTTGAGACAGGGTCTCACTCTGCCACCCAGGCTGGAGTGCTGTGGTACAATCATAGCTCACTGCAGCCTCAAACTCCTGAAATTAAGCAACCCTCCCACCTCAGCCTCCTAAGCAGCTGGAACTCCAGGCGCATGCCACCATACCCAGCTAATTCTTTTGATTTTTAGTAGAGAAGGGAGGGTCTCACTATGTTGCCCAGGCTGGTCTCAAACTCCTGAACTCCAGCGATCCTCCCACCAAACTGCTGGGATTATAGGCGTGAGCCACCATGCCGGGCCTTTAGTTCAGGTTTTTAATGTTATACTAAGGTTGATCCCTGCTTGAAAATGATTTTATCTTATTTATAGATGAGGAGCATCCCACTCAAGAGCTCTGAATTCAGGCAGACGTCTAAGCAGTTATTTGTGTTTTAATGTATGGATAAGGACATTTTCTTGTCTATTTTCAAGGAGCCCATAAACCCATTTCTTAGGAGTGGCAAGAAAACTGCTTAGGACGATCAAGCAGCTCGCCCAGACCCTCTTTGACGGTCTTTGAAGGACAGAGTCTTTGTCAAACCAAGCTCTGAGTCACTCAGATGAACCTTCTAACCTGGGTTCAGTGCAATACTTTTCATTAGAAAAATACCATGATGGCCTCCTCTTGATGACAGTTTGTGAAATCTGTTCCCTTGATCACAACAACTTTGATATTCTCTTTTGTCTTATTCAGAGACATCACAGCCTGAGGCCTTTCAACTTTCCTGTGCGTTTTGGAATCTTTAAACTACTACGGGGTAGGTACATCACATTACCCAGAACTATTTCAAGACTATGCCTGAAATTTTGTAGCTACTGCATGAAATACGTGGCAGGAGTCCACTGCATCAGAAGCTGAGCTACGTGCCCGCCTTTCCTGGCTCAGGGTGCAGCTGTGGCCTCATTTAGGGATTCTGGGTACTGCAAACTCTTGTCAAAGGCACCTGTTTGTGTTGCTTGGGCTCAGAAAACACTTTCAGTCTAAGAAAAAAGGTTTAAAAGTGCTGCGTAATTTGGGGTAATGTGGCATACAGAAACAAGGATGAAGGACAGCATTTGCAGTGTGTACTACATTTCAATTCCTGCTTTAGAGGAAAAGTATGTTGGGGGAGGATCCGTAACAGACGTAACCAACATAGAAAGCTACTAGGAAAGAGACTGCCACGCTGTTCGGTGAGCTGGTCCCGTCACTTTGCAGTATGATCTTTCGGCAGATCCCTGGCGGGAGATCCCTCTCCCTCCGCATGCCGACCCACTCTGTGTTGAGCCATAGGCCTGGACTGAATCCTGACCCACTCTGTGCTGAGCCATCAGCCTGGACTGAATCCAAGTCTCATGTCCTCAGAGTTTCCCCAAACCAGGACATCAGTCAGAAGAACTAGGGTTCTGCTGCTCCTCCTGCACCGAAATAGAATGCTAGAAAAAATACAAAATACATTTAGGCCTGGGACAAACGGTCAGTTATCCTTAAGGAAAGTCAAGCCCCAGAAAGGGTGTGGTTTATATGGTTTGCGTTCTCATACACTGAGCACTTACAATATTCCCAGTTCATTGTCTGGAAGGCATGGGGAGGCTGCACTACTAAATAATCTCAGAGCGCAATGACACTGTCAGCTGTCATATTCAAGCAAATTCATTAAGTCAGAAAAGTTCCCTTTAGGAAAACGGGAAAAAAAAAACACTAAAAATTGCACGAAGGACTTTTTCTCAACTCACTCTGAACTTCGTAAAAGTCACTGTCTAACTTACAGAAAGATCTAGTATTATCCCCAAATATCACTGGCAAGGATGGAATCTGGAAGGACCACAGAGGGCTGAATGACTACTTCCCCAGTTTTTGTTTTTTTTTGTTTTTGTTTTTGTTTTTGAGACAGAGTCTCACTCTATCACCCAGGCGGGAGTGCAGTGGCACGATCTCGGCTCAGTGCAATGTCTGCCTCCCAGGTTCAAGCAATTCTCCTGCCTCAGCCTCCCACGTAGCTGGGATTACAGGTGCGTGCCACCAAGCCTGGCTAATCTTTGTATTTTTAGTAGAGACAGGGTTTCAGTTTCATCATGTTGGTCAGGCTGATCTCAAACTCCTGACCTCAGGTGATCCACCTGCCACGTCCTCCCAAAATACTGGGATTACAGGCGCAAGCCACCATGCCCAACACAGATGATGCTCTTGAGTGGAGGTGGATCCTGCACATCTGGACTGCACAGTGGGAACAAGGGGCTCCTGGTCTGCACATCCAGCTGCAGCTACCCTGGGCTACCCCACTGCAGCCAGGTCAGGATTTCAGGGCTGAACTCTATTTAGTGCTTGGGGGGAAGCTGGCAGGGCCCACAGGCTGATAGAGGGCAACACCACATCCAGTTTCTCCTGGACCGGCATGCTCCGTGGAGTGGAGAAGGAAAAGGGCAGCACGTCAGCCCCTTGGCAGGGTGTGGTGGGAGTTAAAAAACAGGTTCAAGATGACTAGAGACATTTAAAGTTGAGGACAAACCATTCATTTTATAGTGATACACTAAATACTCCAGGGAAATTGTATGAAATTTTTATATTTATCAAAATGGTACAAAAAGGAGGAAGAAATGCTGCTCCAAAGAGCCCCATATTATTTGTCTTCTAGACTAGACAGTTCCATTTCCAAAGGTTCTATTTCCTGGGCAGAATGAGAACATAAACTGTGAAAGTAAACAGTCACCTAAAGAAATTGCAGTATGAAGAGGAGCCATATGCAGCAGCTGCCAGTGATGCCAGAGACCAACATCTGCTGACCAGAAGAGAAGGACGTGATTTACTGGTAAGGGAAGAAAGTAGGGCCGGGTGCAGTGGCTCACGCCTATAATCCCAGCACTCTGGGAGGCCAAGGTGGGCGGATCACTTGATGTCAGGAGTCTGAGACCAGCCTGGCCAACATGGTGAAACCCCATCTCTACTAAAAATACAAAAAAAAAAAAAATTAGCCAGGCTTGGTGGCACACACCTGTAATCCCAGCTACTCAGGACCTGAGTTGGGAGGACTGCTTGAACCCGGGAGGCAGAGGTTGCAGTGAGCCAAGATCGTTCCACTGTACTCCAGCCTGGGTGACAGAGCGAGACTCCATCTCAAAAAAAAAAAAAAAGTAGCTCTGCCATTTTAAAGTAATTTAAAAGTAATTTTATGTATATTTACTTATATAAATATGTATGCATAGATTTTTATAAAATTGAACTACATGTATAATAAATGCAGTGGTTAACACTGCCTTTCAAGTTATTTTAATCTTTTGGCTTATCTGAGTTTTCTCATTTTTTTATAGCGGTTGAATTTTTACAATTTTTAATGGAATCTTTTCCTACCACTTAAAAAAAATTATTTGAGGCAGAAAAGGCCTGATAAGACATTCTGCTTCCATAAAGACACTTTGATGAACAAATCACTCCTTGAGTCTGGCTGGGAAGACAAGCTTTAAGCAAGTCATTCAAAGGTGACCAGTGCCGAAAGTGGGGGGTCCTACGGAAACACAACAGAGAGAGCTACTCTGGTTGAAGCAAGGACAGGAACAGCTAACACTGGAGCCAGGGTTAAAGTCAGCTAAACTGTGCACAGCTTGGGGCTGGGGGAAGCACAGAGTGTGTCAGGAATTGAAGGCCAGTGTAACTGTGGCCCAAGGCAGGACAGAGAGGCAGGGTCTGGCAGGTGCGAGTTAGGAACTGTGGACACCACAAAGACGAGGGGCATGAGGTGGTGAACTTTCTGTGAAGGAGACGAGCTCAGGGGAGAGCAGGAGTGGGTGGAGGAGACCCACCTGGAGGTGAGTTCAGCAGCCCCTGTTGCCTACTGGACACACAGCTTACAGGTGACAGCATGATGGGCTATGTGGTGGATTTGTACTCTCGGTGGTACAGGTGTCACCTGGTGATATGGTTTGGCTCTGTGTCCCCACCCAAATCTCACCTTGAATTGTAATGATTCCCATGTGTCATGGGAGGGACCCAGTGGGAGGTAATTGAATCATGGGGGTGGGTTTCTCCCATGCTGTACTCGTGATAGTGAATAAGTCTCACGAGATCTGATGGTTTTATAAAGGGCAGTTCCCCTGCACACGCTCTCTTGCCTGCCGCCATGTAAGATGTGACTTTGCTCCTCCTTCACCCTCCCCCATGATTGTGAGGCCTCCCCAGTCATGTGGAACTGTGAGTCCATTAAACTTCTTTTTCTTTATATATTACCCAGTCTCGGGTATTTCTTCACAGTGGTATGAAAATGAATTAATACACCTGGGCTCTGCCCCCTTTCACAATCCCACTGTAAGTGTGAAACTCACACCAAGGGCCTCAGAATGTGCTTGAGACTAAGCTTTTCTTCAACAATTACTTCTTTCAAGACAGGAGACTTAGGCACACAGGCTCTGGAGTTATAACAAACCTTTCTTGGCCATGGCCATGACCAGCTGTGTGATCATGGCTAACTGCTCCATGACTTAGTTTACTTGCCTATAAAAGCAGGGGTCACATTTAAAGGGTGGTCAAGAGCATTCAGTGTAAAAATACTTAGCATAGTACAAGGATTCCACAAAGGCCAGGGCTCAATGAAAGTTATAATTTGCACAGGGCATTCAATGTCTCAAGTTCTTCTATTTTTACAAGTATGGAAGAATAAATTTCCCGAGTGCCCCAAAGGAAGGGCAAGAACAGTCAAATTCATCTCATCAGCAGTTTCTTACTGGGCACCTCCTGTCTGCCAGGCTCTGTTCTGGGTGTAGGGATAAAAGGCAGAAAGAGGCAACAGGCACAGTGACAACAAAACTCAGTATCTCAATAAAGTGGCGAGGGCTATGGGAAGAGTAACAACGAGGGGAGGCGTGCAGAAGGCCAGGGCTGGAATGAGCAGCACCAGTCATGGTCAGAGAGGGAGGAGGTGGGCAGTGGCCACCCGCTGTCTGGAGGAAATGCGGACATACTTTCCTGAGAAGGCAGAGAGCATGTGCATGTCCCAAGTGGCAAATCCTGAGTGCCTAGGGGGCATGCCCAGGAAGGCAGGTCAGAGCTGCATGCTGGAGAGAGGAAGCGCCATGGTCACTGCTGTGGGGCTTCCCAGACCAGAGTCACAGGGAGGACCCCTGCTCCCCAGGACGGAGCAACTGAGCAGCTGGTGCCAGAGCGGTGGGAACAGGAGGAGCGTCGGGCTTGTGTGTCCTCGCTGCCTGCCTTCTGCTCGGTTTCCTTATTTAACAGGAGTTTGGTCGGAATTCAGGAATGAATAAGATGTTCTCTCTGCCAAGGAAGTTTCAAGGGCCAGGGCAGCATTTCTACACAACCAGCCACCTCTTTCACATAAAATTCTGGGAGTTTCAATGCTACCCTTAAGGCTAATCTGTCTAATGTATGCCTCCTCTGCCAGGAACTGCATTTTCTCTAACCCATTTTTCACCCGGAAAGAAAGATATGGCTTTGCTTCTGATTAACAGCCTCTCCAAGTTTTGGGATAACAGACATGAGCCATCATGCCCAGCCAGGAAAGGTCTTCAGTGTTACATACTCTGAGACCGTATTGAGTTGAGACTTTTTTCTTTTTATATATTCATGATTGGACAATAAAGCGCCAAAAAGATTATCTTTATCACTTTATTTGAAGACAAAATGTGTCAATAACAGCAACTATAACCAAATTCTTGACAGACTAGAGCTCTGACAAATCTCCGTTAGCCACCAATTTCCTGGGCAGGTAAAGTCTATCCTACAGAAAACTGAGGACAAAATTCAGTCGCATACTCGAAGGGGGAGATCCCACATACTTAGGCTTAGCAGTTCAGGCTGTGTCCACCCAGCTTTGCTTAGGACAGCTCTGCCCAACTACCTGAGCCCAGACTCTCCCTTCACTAAGCCCTTCCTCCCTTTCTCTGGCTCCCTAGAAATTGATTTTCTTTCTAGTTGTAATCCATGTGGGTTCCCGGCTGCCTTAACCTAGAAAACGAAACAAAAAATAGAGCAGCACCTGGCTCCCAGGTACAGACCAAGCACTCTGCTCTGATAATAGTTCTAAGATGCTCAGAAAATAATTCGGTTGCGCCCATTCCAGTTCCTTGCCGACACTCCTTGGGCATCTTAGATGTGCTTCTAGACTGCTGAGGAGGCTGCATCCTCTGCTGGCTCTCTCCAGCTGTCACAGTCTACCTGCTTTTGGAACATAAGCCTTGGATCTCTATATCCTCACAGATTCCTCTTGTCGACGGGGGTGTAACCAACTTTGTAAATTAAGCTAAAGAACCAAAAAGTCGTGTCCAGATTTCTAACATCGTACCTTGCAATTTCACAAATACAGTCGCTCTACCTTTAAATCAATTGAAGAGTAAATACACCCATATGCCATGAGTCTGATACTTAAATACAGTTTTCTCCCCTTTCTTCTACACGCAGTGCCATATTCTCCTTACGAGGCAGTGTGGTGTCATGGGAAGAAGTGCTTTAGAAGCTGGCAGGGCTGGGCGCGATCCGTGGTACAGTCACTGCCTAGGACACACTGGCCTGCTAGTTGACATCTCTGAATTTGAGTTTTCTCATGCTAAATGGGGCTGGTAATATCTGTTCAATAGGGTTGTGGGGAAAACGGGTTTAAATGAAGTGATGTATTTAAAACACATTGTATTCGCCATGGGCTAAGTCTCCGCAGACTGACTCAGCACCCCTGCAGTTTACAAAGCCATTCCGCATGCCTAGTCTTTATTTCACCTCACAGCCATGAAACAGTTGTGGAAATGGAATCCCACTTTCTTAACAAATAAGGATTCAAGGGAGTGAATGATTTTTCCAAAGCCCACTGTGAGTGCATGGAAAGCTCCAGCAATTCTGGTCCAAGTATCTTTTCACTTTGTGCAACAGCAAATTAAGAGACAAACATCTACTTTCCTTTCCAACTTAGTAGAGCAGGAGGGAAAATCCTTCTAGTTAACTCTCCTGTTTCTTATGTATCCCACTCTCCGAGCACATACTGCAAATGTGCTGTTTGGGATGGCCTTCGCCACGGGACAGTCAGAGCCAACTCAAGGTGACAGCAACTCAGCAACAGAGACAGGGGCGCAAAACAAACAGCTTGACTTGCCCTGGATTATTCTTCTCCAGAAGAAACCAAGCCCCAGTTTCACTGATGGGGACAGACACACAGGGGCACGGGCTCTGACTTGGGGGAATGAAAGGGACTATGTCACCACCTGAATTTGTTGCAGGCAAATTATGAGTTCTTAAAGATTTTTTTAAGCATTTAAATTTCACCATCTGCAATCTTTTTTTCTTCCCTGCCCCCCGCCCCCACCCGAGATGCAGTTTCACTCTTGTTGCTCAGGCTGGAGTGCAGTGGCACGATCTCTGCTCACTGCAACCTCCGCCTCCTGGGTTCAAGTGATTCTCCTGCCTCAGGCTCCTGAGTAGCTGGGATTACAGGCGTGCACCACCATACCCAGCTAATTTTTTTTAGTAGAGATGGGGTTTCACCATGTTGGTCAGGCTGGTCTCAAACTCCTGACCTCAAGTGATCCACCTGCCTCGGCCTCCCAAAGTACTGGGATTACAGGCGTGAGCCACCACACCCAACCTACCATCAGCAATCTTTTGTTTCCACTTAAAAGCGGAGCCCACAAAGATGCTCAGCCAGCCAAGGGGGCTACTGAGGCTGAGCAGCCTTGCATCCCATTCCCCACTGGTACATTAGTATCTTATGACACCTTCAGCCGTCACACTTACTTCTACTGATGGCTGCTTTTTCAGGTTTCATGGATCAAAGATGCTTTTCATCGCTTATGAAGAATGGGATGGGGGCAGGGAGACAGGGTCCAGGTGCTATGATTTCGTCTGAAATCACATCCTCTTCATGCTTAGAAAGCCCTACACTTTCTCTTCTAATATTGGCTTAAAACAATGCTTGGAATCTGGTTTCAAAAAAATTGTAGCTTCTGGGAGGAAAGTTATAAGTATATAAAACATCAATTACATGTTAATATCCTGGCAACCTTAATTAAGCAGGGGTACTGCCAAGGGCTACTTGCCTTAAAGTGAGCACAGATACCCTGTGTGCCCCTTTAATTATGGTTTTTGTTCAGTGTTTTTTGCTGGATTTGAGTAATGCAACAGTCACATCTGGCACCCTCATCAACAGGTTCTCAAAATAATGATAATCTTATATGGAACAATACCTATCTTTATTTATATAAGTATTTATCTGAGACTTTACCACTCTATAATCTACACTGACTTCTAACAGAAATGGAATAAGATTTAAACTAAGACAACTATCATTTTCAATAAATAACTTGACAGTTTTGATCAAACTTCTTAAAAATAGAAATCAATAAATACATGGGAACCAAAGCCAGGTATCCCTGGTGGTGAGAAGAGCTGGGGATCTAGAGAAGGCAGCAGAACCAGGACACTCAGGCAAGAAAAAGATGGAAGAGACAGAGTGAGGGTGACAGAATGTGAACAGAGACTTTCTTTAAAGCCCCACACTTAGAAGTTACCTGTAAGCCTCACGTTGTATTACTGCTTGATGGTCCACCTTTCCCCATCTTGGTAACTCATCTGTATAAGCCCCAAATTCAAGACCTCGGTGCTCAAATGAGAGGAAGGCAGAGCACCAACCTGTCCTGATGGGTGTGTCACCCGGGCCCTCAGACTGCCCTTTATCTATGCCTGAATGAACCAAGAAGGGAATAAACTCTTAAAAATCCCAGCTGAGTGCATTGGCTCATGCCTGTAATCCCAGCACTTTGGGAGGCCGAGGTGGGTGGATCATCTGAAGTCAGGAGTTCGAGACAAGCCTGGACAACATGTCAAAACCCCATCTCTACCAAAAATACAAAAATTAGCTGTGTGCAGTTGTGCATGCCTGTAATCCCAGCTACATGCGAGGCTGAGGTGGGAGAACTGCTTGAACCTGGAAGGCAAAGGTTGCAGTCAGCCAAGATCGCACCATTTCACTCCAGCTTGGGTGACAGAGCGAGACCCATCTCAAACAAACAAACAAACAAATAAATAGAAAATCCCAAAACCAGCTGAGAGTGGCATGCAAGGTAGGAAGATGGCAGGACTCCTCCAGGCATGCAGCATTTGTGGTTTCTGAGCAGTTGGTGATGAAATCCCCGCTGTGCAGATGCCAG
Source organism: Homo sapiens (assembly GCF_000001405.40). Classification (NCBI taxonomy): domain Eukaryota; kingdom Metazoa; phylum Chordata; class Mammalia; order Primates; family Hominidae; genus Homo; species Homo sapiens. The sequence continues at coordinate 155,224,827 of NC_000006.12, read as the reverse complement.
GCCAGAACCTTCTAAGCAACTGCACATCTCAGAGCCTCCTCCTCTGCCAGCTGTTTTCTGAAAACACCAGAGGACTCAGGTGGCAGCAAAGAATGAGAGAGCGCAAAGGCAGGTGAATAGCAGAGGCGGCAGCATGCGCTGGAGGCTGAACAAACACAGTCGGGGTGTGGAAGGGGCAAGAACCAACGAAAGGATGAAAGAGGGAAAGAGAATTGGGGGTGCCTTTAAAACAAACCTCCATTCTCCTCCTTCCTTCCATACTAATGACACATCCATGTTTTTCTTGCCCTTTTCTTCATGTTATTATCAAGACAGCAGGAGACGGATTTACAAAACGAATGATCCCATCTTAACCTTCAGCAGTTAGAAGCTAGTGTTTGAGATGGTGAAAATACCATCATGTGTACCTGGATGAAGCACTTCCAGGCAGAGTTTTTCCATGACCCCTCCTCCCTCAACTCCAGACACATCTACTCATGACACACACATCTACTCTTAGCTGAGTCTATAGAGGAAATTGCAAAATGACTCAGAACAATTTCTCACAACTTACTTTTGCAAAAGCAAAAGCAGCCACCACTGTGGAGCCGGAACTTTATCACAAGGTGAGAATCTGCTATGAGTCATGAAAGGCACAGAAAATGCCTTGAAACTCAAACACATCTTCTTTCACTCAGTACAAGGTTTTCATTGGACTACAATCTCTACGCAAGAATATTGACAGAAGGCAGCCAGGTGACGATTTCAGAACTTTGAACAATGGCAAGCATCTGAGCAGGCCTCGGTGAAGGGGATTTAATGAGTGAATGAATAATGCGACACTACACCCACCCCCCTGGGTAAATATTAAAGATCGGATGAGATTCCAGGCACCCACACAGTGGCAAGCCAAAATTAGATAGTAATTGTGCCTATTACTTCTTTAAAAGAAAAAGGGCGAACGACAACAAGGGCTTAGCTAATTTGCTGACATGGAAAGGGGAAGGGTGAAATTCACTGGCAACGCCCTTGCCGGGGAACACAGGAGCCACAGCCACCTGAGCGTCCCTTACGCTGAGCATAAAAAACACCCCTCCTAGTCCATCAGACAGCTATTTATTTTACTAAAGAGATCCATAAAAGTTTGGTTTGGGATCAAAATGTTAAAATTCTTACTCCAAAAAAAAACCCATTTTGTTCACTAATGATAGAAAATAAAACTTTCAAAATGCCAAAACATCCCAGCACGTAATGCTGCGATTGGTGTTTAACAACCTGGGTTTGCATCCATTGAAGTGCAGAGTAAAAAAAAAAAAAAAAAGAAAAAAAAATCTGGGGATGTCTAACCACCATCATCAATATAATCTATTCTGGTCTCAACCTAATAATTTATTTGCCATCTAGGGGTTGTTATTTATTTAACGTTCCTCAACATCTCTTAGCACATTAAAAAAATAAAGCATTAATAGCTAATCTCACCCAAGCAATTAGACTAAGATAAAAACAAAGTTCAAAATATCACTTGACTATATAAACACAGTGCTGTTCATATTGCAGGTACTTGATAACTGATTCTGCAATATCAATAATATTAAGACACAGGCTAGGCTATTCAGATGTTTACTCAAAGTAAGGATCACAAACTGACGGTTCATAAATTCCTAACAGGGAAAGCTGTGAATAAACATCGTAAGACTGGGGAGCTCCCTGGAATTGTCTGCAATTTCTAACGTATGTGCATAAGCAATCTTCTGGGGACCCATAGCTTTCCTCAGATTCTCAAATGGTCTGCTTGAAATAAGTTCCTAAATAACGTAAGTGCATAAAAGAGCAGAGAGCATCTGGAAATACGGTATCTAACCATCCTGACCTTCGCATACCATTACCTGAGAAGCCTCCAAAAATCTTACAGGTTTTAGCTTCAATGAAATGCATGAAGGACAATAAACGACCGAAGCAAATTCTAATAGGGTTCTGCTAAGATTCTTCTTCTAAGCAGCTCTCCATATTCATGGGGATAAAAAGGGATATCTAGCAGAAAGCTGCTTTGGATCAGGCATTCAGGCAGAAAGACAGACAGGGAGAGACATCAGGGCAGGACAGCTGGTCAGACGGACCCTTGAGTTTCACAGATAGGGAAGTTTGACAACTTACCCAAGGATGAAGAAACGGCTCCTCAGTGTAAGACTTAGGGCAAAAAACCCATGGTTTTTTTTGTGTTTTTTTTTTTTGTTTGTTTTTTGTTTTTGAAACAGAGTCTTGCTCTGTCATCCAGGTTGGAGTACAGTGGTGCAGTCTTGGCTCACTGCAACCTCTGCCTCCTGGGCTTAAGCAGTTCTCATGCCTCAGCCTCCCGAGTAGCTGGGATTACAGGAACGAGCCACAATGCCTATCTAATTTTTGTATTTTTAGTAGAGATAGGGTCACACCATGTTGGCCAGGCTGGTCTTGAGCTCCTGGCCTCAAGTGATCCACCAGCCTCAACCTCCCAAAGTGCTGGGACTACAGGCGTGAGCCACGCCCACCCAACCCATGTGTTCTTA